>NC_000011.10:39453939-39605454 GCF_000001405.40 Homo sapiens
TTGCAGGTTGCAGTGAGCCGAGATCACACAGCTGTACTCTAGCCTAGCGACAAAGTGATACTGTGTCTCAAAAAAAAATAAAAAATAAAAAAATTCATATAGATCACAATAACCAATAAGACATCCTTGGAGACATTTTTGATTCAAGAAGTGAGGTAAGGAAACGTACAAAATGAATCTGGACATTTTGTTTTTCTTAATTTAAAGCAAAGAAGCTATCAAAGACTTCTGAGGTCATAAGAAAACGACAAGGAGCCAAACCACTGGTCAAAACAGTCTAAGTTTGGTATCAAAAAGAATAATGAATTGAAAAGCATCAAATATACAAAAATTTGTGTGTTCATTCTGATACTACAAAAGTAAAACAAATCCCCGGAACCCCTTTGGAGATTTCTAGGGAACATCAATACAAATTGATCATGGGCTAGATATCAGATGATATTAGAATACTATTAATATATTGAGTTTGATCAATGAATAAGAGTGATATTTTAATATTATCTCAATTAATACACATGGAAGTATTAATCAAATCTCATGTCTGGTTTGCTTTACTGTATTTCACATACATCCATATATTGTTTTGCAAATAAAAATAATTTGGATAAGACTAATCAACGTAATGGAAAAAACAGATACAAATATATAGACATAAATGTCCTATATAAATAAGAGAAACTGTCAACCTCACAAAGGATGAAATAATCTTTTTTAAAATTCTTTTTTGTTCAGACTATATTTAGAAAGTTGAGATAAAATAATATACAATATGATGAGTATCAAAGAAATTAGTATCCTGTATTTTGCTAGTCTGGGTAAAAATCTTCCTAGAAAGCAAATGTTCAATATAAATAAAAAATATATAAATATGCATATGCTTTGATTTAGCAGTTTCACTTCAAGTTATTTATCTTAAAGAATTCATGAGATAAAAATTAATTTATTCTTTCATTCATCCATTTATTCTGTTAAAAATAATTATTGGGCATTATGTGTTAGGTACCAGACACTGAGTTACAGCAATGAATAAGAGAATAAAGTCCCCACCCTCAAGGAGTTTATATTGTAATTATTTTTTCCATGGGAACAATTATACTAATTTTATGTAAAATTGCAAACATCTATCTACATTATTATCTATCCACAAGCTGGAGTTAAATATTTTAGAACAAAACTTAAATATATATTGCTAATTTTTTAAAAATGTAGTGTATATGTTATGACTTTTTTGTTGATTAAACCTAGAAAAATACTGAAATTACATATATTAAAGGCTTTACGGTAATTATTGGTAAGTGTTAGAATTAGTGGAAAACATATTTTTCTTCTCATGATTTTCAATTTTCCTCCAATGAGCAAACAATAATTTTTATAATTAGAAATAAAATAACATTTATATTTTAAAAATCTTTTCCTAAATGAAGGTACTTCATTTAATATTTCTTTAATAACACAATATAAAACTGCAATATTAACACAGTCCTTCCTCATAAATAAAACTTGAATTGTGAGAATTGCCAAGCTCTTTGAGAAAGTCAAATAGCTCACATTTACAAAGTTTACATTTATCAACAGAGTGTATTTTGGGACAGAACAAATTTTGCTATGTAATTGTACTCATTTCTGTATAACCTTTGGTGAGTTAATTCACCTACCTTTGCGTAATTTCTGAATCCACAAAACAGGGCTAATTATACTCCTTAAAAGCTTTGTTCTGAAGTCTAATGGAATGGGAACGCCTGGCACAAATGCCTTTAATTATTTTTAGTTATTTTAAAGAGAATTACACCAGAAATATGTATTTTCATTACCTGAATCTAGTGTTAGCAATGTTAAACTTTTAGTTACTCTGCTGAATCTCTTCAAATTAATCAAACCTATATTTCAAAATGCGGAAAGGGTTCTCAGAAAGCCATTTACTTATTTCTATACTCAGGTCTATTAGTGAGTAATATTTTTGTTCTACAGTGCTTTCTGATTTATTTATAGTATCTAAATTAATATCGATTAATTTGACCAACTATTTACATAGGGACTCTATTTGCATCTATGCCTCTTAAAGCCTGCTCTTAGATTTTTACTTAACAGGGGCAAAATTTTTCATCACTGAACAAAACATTTAAAGTATATAACTTCATAAGTGCTCTCATGTAAGGAATGAACCAATCTTAAAAGAAGAAAACATAATTCTACAAAACTTTTCAAAATCTAGACTTTAAAACTCTTTTATGTCATCGTGGTGCTATCACTATTCTAATAGTTTCCTTGAGCTAAAAATCTGGACAGAATTCATATTTTCTTGGAAGAATCATTTTACTTGTAATTCAACTGTCTACCTACAAATTTAGATTTGCCCTGTTGCTCTTCTTCCTTTAATTAACAAAATTGAGTAGCTTTTTATGTTGGAGATATGTTGCATACCAATGGGGAAAAAATAAAATAATTATATCTCCGGCCGGGCCTGGTGGCTCCTGCCTGTAATCCCAGCACATTGAGAGGCCGAGGCGGGTGGATCATGAGGTCAGGAGACCATCCTGGCTAACACGGTGAAACCTTGTCTCTACTAAAAATACAAAAAATTAGCCAGGCATGGTGGCGGGTGCCTGTAGTCCCAGCTACTCTGGAGGCTGAGGCAGGAGAATGGCGTGAACCCTGGAGGTAGAGCTTGCAGTGAGCAGAGACCGTGCCACTGCACACTGGCCTGGGCGACAGAGCAAGACTCCACCTCAAAAAAAAAAAAAAAGAAATTATATATCTATCTATCTTCGTTCCTCTTTTTTGAGTAAGAACTTACTGTCCAGGTGCGGTGGCTCACTCCTGTAATCCCAGCACTTTGGGAGGCCAAGGCAGGTGGCTCAGCTGAGGTCAGGAGTTTGAGACCAGCCTGACCAACATGATGAAACCCTATCTCTACTAAAAATACAAAATTAGCTGGGTATGGTGGTGCTTGTCTGTAATCCCAGCTACTCGGAAGGCTGAGGCAGGAGAATCGCTTGACCCAGGAGGCAGAGTTTGTAGTGAGCTGAGATTGTGCCATTGCACTCCAGCCTGAGCAACAAGAGTGAAACTCTGTCTCAGAAAAGAGAAAAAAAAAAAAAAAACTTACCCGAGTGATTCTTGTGTTGACTATGATTAAACTATTATGAAGGAAATGTAATAGAAATAAAATAAGGATGTTAAATAAAATCGAGTAAAATAATACAGATTAATTAAAAATATACACACAGGTAGTCTTAATAGATATGACATATATATCTCATATAAGTATATTAATGATATAGATGATATAAAATTATAACAATATAATATATATCATTTCATAATGAAAAGCTATTAGTAAACAGCAGAAGCAGCAACAATAATGGCAACCAGAAAACCTTTATGAAAACCGAATTAGTTAAAAGCTGCTTTTAAGAACATTTTAGTAAAGGAAAAGAAGAAGCTGAAGACCTAAACTCTGTACAAGGTCTTGGAAAGACAACAAAAACAAAGCAAAATCAGACCAGGAGTTTGACCTTTTCTATTCATGTAAACCAATTGTAACTAGGGGACAATTTCTGGGATTAAATAAAGTCATGTTTGACTGTTGGTGAACACGACTGTGGAAATCCTTGGTGTTGCTGATTTTGGGTTTACCCTCTCTGACTAAATATAAAATTGTTATGGGGATGAAAAGTCTAATGGGGATCAGGCAATGAAACTCACCAGAAATACTTGTTTCACATAGACAAAGTAGTATATTTTTCTAATAAAATTTATTTTAATGCCCTGCTTATGTAAAAATAAAATTTGTTTTACTATCTTATATTTTAGAGCACATATACAGAAAATGAAAGAAATCAAAATATTTGACAAAATATGTAGAAAGGAATACTGTTATAAATATCAAAAGATTTTATAACTTTAAGCTCCCGCTGCCAGAGACATGGTAAGAATGATTAATTCCTTCGCGCCTATCATTTCTCAGTGACCTCACTGTGAACACTCACACTTTATTAATAACTCCTGATATTTTTGCACTGTGTCTCATCCACAGGCCTCAGAAATTACAAACACTAGTTTTACCTAAGAGGAATCTAAGTAGCAAGTCACCACATTTTCCTAACAGAGAGTTTGAAACCCAGAAAGTCAGACTTGCTGAATATGAAGGAGCCCTGTGGAGTGGGTCAGAGTTACCTTTGACCTAAGAAAAGTGAGGTCAGTCTACGGCTATAGGCAGTAAATCCATCCAATAATGGGTTAAGGAGTACTGATAAAAGAACAACTACTACCAGCTGACTGGACCAGCTCATATTGTTTAAAATAATCTTCAAAAATCATAGGAATATATGGAGAAAACAAATTTCAAGGCACAGAAAGCTAAAAAACAACAAAAGCTACATTTGTAAATAATTTTATAATCGACAGATATTTATTTTCTTTATAACTCCATGTTCTTTTCAACAAATGGCCCATGAAGAGATAAGGTTGTGATTTTGTTGTTTCCATCCCTTTCCTTTCCAATGGAATTTAAGCTCAATGGAGGCACTCTTGTAAACTCTTCTCTCAGAAACTTGCACATAGAATGTAAAAAATATATCTTGAATAGTGTTGAATGAATGGACATAGAGAATAACAGGTTAAACTAGAACAAGAATGTAGGCTTCCTGATACTCAGTCCAGAGTTCTTTTCTTACATCATGTAATAGGCTCATAATGGCAATAAATAAACAAATGAGTGAATAAATGTAGAAAGAAAAGAGAGGAAGGGAGGGAGGGAAGGAAGGAAAGGAAGGAAGGAAGGAAGGAAGGAAGGAAGGAAATTAGCTTTCCATAAAATATCAGACTCGTGAAACGTCAACACAGAAATAACTGGGTAAAAGTGGCAAAAGATGATTGTTCATTAAAGTTACAGAGAAAACTGACCAGAGTCAACAGAGAGGTTAGGATAAAACAGGATTCTCACTTATAAAATTTAACTTAGTCAAACTCAAAGGGGGTGTATTTCTAATCCAAAACATAAAAACATTTAAAATGTTCATCTTAAAGTAGAAATAAAGGTATAAAAAATTATTTAGGAAATATATATTACTTTTCATAAGCAGAGAAAACTTCAACATTCACATAAATGACTTTTAAGTTTTTTAATTTCCTTAGTAATGATGATCTTTTCCTTCTTAGGAATCCACTATAGTTATACTTCACACACACATACACACACACACCCCTCAATTTTAAATATAGCACTCTTTTCTTTTTTTTTTTTCTGGAAACAGAGTTTCACTCTTGTCACCCAGGCTAGAGTGCAATGGCATGATCTCAGCTCACTGCAACCTCCACCTCCTGGGTTCAAGCAGTTCTCCTGCCTCAGCCTCCCGCGTAGCTGGGATTAAGGGCATGTGCCACCATGCCCGACTAATTTTTGTATTATTAGTAGAGACGGGGTTTCACCATGTTGGCCAGGCTGGTCTTGAACTCCTGACCTCAGGTGATCCACCCACCTTGGCTTCCCAAAGTGCTGGGATTACAGGGTGAGCCACCACACCTGGCCCAAATATAGCACTCTTTTTTCATAATCCTTTTTTTTTCACTCATTTATTCTAATTACAGAACTGCATCCTAACAGGTCTTACTCTTCACTTATTTTTTCCTTGTCTGACATGTCCAGTTAGTGCTCATGGAATATCAATTGCTCCCCTATATTTCCTGTTCACTGTTGTAGTTCATTTTAATATGTGACGGGGGTCTAGCAAATAGAACTGAGGGCATATATTATACATCGCTTCACATCTGATGCATTACTGAGTCCTTATTCTCCATTACGGCAAACTTACAGCCTTGTGATGAGAAGCCGGTAAGCTCATACCTTTGACAATTCATCAAATCAAGACATTTCCCCACTTGCCTCAGTGCTTGAATGACAAATAAACGTTGTTGGTATGAAGCCACTGAAATTACATCATGTATTTGCTACTACAACAAATCTAGGGTACAGCAAATTATCCTAATGTAACATTCTCCATTGGTTCTCCACAACAGCAGCCAGACAGAACACTAAAAAATATGCGTAGCATATTATTATGCCCTTTCTTTAAAATATTCATTTTTTAAATTAAACTTTGTATAGAATTCAAATCCTTTACTATATCCTATAAGGCTCACACTATCTGGCCTGTCAGATTCTCAGAACTCACCTCTCTCTGCTCACTCATTCTCTGACTTTCATTCTCTTGCTCAGTTCTGTCCATGCTTTGTACTTCCTGTGCTTTTTGCTTGCAGTGCTCATTTATAAGATCTTTACAAATTAAGAATAAGTTAAAACACAATCGTCTCAAGAATTTAACCCTTGGCTGGTCACAGTGGCTCACACCTGTAATCCCAGCACTCCGGGAGGCCGAGGCAGGTGAATCACAAGGTCAGGAGATTGAGACCATCCTGGCCAACATGGTGAAACCCTATCTGTACTAAAAATACAAAAATTAGCTGGGTGTGGTGGTGCGTGCCTGTAATTCCAGCTACTCAGGAGGCTGAGGCAGGAGAATCGCTTGAACCAGGGAGTCAGAGGTTGCCGTGAGCCGAGATCGTGCCACTGCACTCTAGCCTGGTGACAGAGTGAGACTCCATCTCAAAAAAAATTTTTAAAAATGAGAGTTTAACCCTTACCTACTCAAATGAGCTTCTCAATTTCTATGTTCTCTAGGGCTTCAGTTTGCGTCTTGGTGGCTATTTTTCATACACTTCATCTAGCCCTAAAATGATTTATTTGTTTACATGTTTATCATGTGCGTGCAATTTGAATTCCTTACTTTCAGGGATACCATTAGTTTTGAATCCCTGTATTCTGGAAACATGACATGGTACCTGTTTCATGTAATACCTATGCATGAAACAATGCATAAGATATTACATCATTGTTTCCAGAATACAGGGATTTAAAAATACATTATTTTTTTAAATAATGTATTCCAGAAACATGAACCAATACCTGTTGCATAGTAGTAACTAAACTTGTATTTACTTAATGATAAATAAATCATTATGATAATTTTGCAGAGAGATTAGTATATGAAGAAAATAAAATCCAGAAGAGGTGACATCTGAGATGACAACTGGATAGTAAGACGTTACCGACTTGCAATGTTTTGGAGACAGAACTTTCCACAGAAAACAGATAGCAACTGTAAAATCCTAAAGGCTGGAATGAGCACAGTGTAGCCCTGGAAGAAAAATGAGGTCAGTTAGATCAAGGAATAAGAAAGAGCCTTGGATTCTTTACCCAATGTTGTGCCTTTGCCTGGGAGAGGAGAGCTGGTCCTGCCCAGAGAACAGATAGCAGTTACATAATTTATACCCACACATCGAGCCTGGGATTAGAGTACAAGTGTTCCCTGCCTGTGGCCTCCTTGCTAACAATACCCAACCTGGACCCAGGCCCAGAACTCAAAAACTTTTATACAATGCCTCAACAAGAGAGATTCTCAGATATACTATTGTTTTTAAAAATGAGCTTCATAAAAAATATATATTCTTCAATATTTAAATCCCTGGATTTTTTTTAAACTAGTTTCAGGACAGATCTGCTGATGAGATTAGCCTAAGGAAGAAAACATAAATTTCACATACTTCATGCCCTACATTTTCAATCACTGTGATAGGCAATATAGTAGTCCCACTTTATCCACAGAAATGTGTTCCAAGATCCCAAGTGGATGCCTGCAACTGCAAATGTTAGTGAACCCTATATATAATATGTTTTTTCCTGTACATACATGCCTATGGTAAGTATAATTTCTAAATTTGGCACAATAAGAAATTAACAATAATAACAATAAAATAGAACATTGTCACAATATACTATAATAAAAGAAATAATATGTGAATATATGTATAATATGTGAAAGTAATAATATATGTAATACGTAAATATTATCTCTTTTTCTCTGCCTCTCAATATCTTATTGTACTACTCTCATTTCTTTTCTTTTCTTTTTTTTTTTTTTTTTTTTGAGATAGAGTCTCACTCTGTCACCCACGCTGGAGTGCAGTGGCGCGATGTCGGCTCACTGCAAGCTCCGCCTCCCGGGTTCACGCCATTTTCCTGCCTCAGCCTCCCTAGTAGCTGGGACTACAGGCGCCCGCCACCACGCCCAGCTAATTTTTTGTATTTTTAGTAGAGACGGGGTTTCACTGCGTTAGCCAGGATGGTCTCGATCTCCTGACCTCATGATCCACCTGCCTCTGCCTCCCAAAGTGCTGGGATTACAGGCATAAGCCACCGCGCCCAGCCCCCTCATTTATTTTCTGACTACAGTAGACCATAGGTAAACTAAAACTACAAAAAGTAAAACTGCAGATAAAGACCAACTACTGTATCAAAATGTACACATAGTTGTCACTGGATGTCAGAAGACCTAAGGATTCCACAGAAATCACATATATTTTTAATGTAAAAATAGAAAGTTAAGAAAATAAAAAACTTTAGTCTGAGATTGTATTCTTCTTGTCTCACATGGATAAGACAGCAAATGGGTAATAATACCTCATATCTACAATGGAAAGACTTGCAAGGCACAAAAAGCAAGTCTGTACAAATTTTTTTTCACTAATGTGCTAAGGGCCCAATTGCACCACAGAGGTGGTTATTTTCAGGATGCAAAATCTGCACTTTTTTTAGGCCACTAGGAAAACTATTTAGAGCAACTCTCAATTATGCAGTGCCTAATTGCCTCATTTGCTTTTTCTCTTTCTCTTCACTCTTGTTGTGGGCAAGCTAATGGAGGCCAAAATCAGTTTTAGACCTAAGATCCCAAGAGTCTACTCTTTGATATGTCTTCAATGATTTAGATCTAGTTTTTCTCTTGGCAGTTTGTGGATTTTTATTTGGGGCAAGATTAAACGTTGGCATAATGATTTGCACAAACTAATCTCAAAAGACTGTTTTCCACTAGAATAGCAATTGATTCATTTTCACTTGGAAATTAGCCAGTTGGACTAAAACGCTATGTCAACTGGTGCACCAGCACTGCCTTTCTTGAGAAGAGAAAGCAATGAGAGATACAAATGAAAGTTGAAAGATAGACAAAATATTTGGTAAAGAGGACTGGAAGATGAGAAAAAGGAATATTAGTCATCAATCTCAGTCTAAATGCATGTACATCTTCTAGAGACATAAACTTATTAAGTTGATGAAAATATTTTTTTCTTCATGTGATCAAAAAGCCTATGCAATCTCAGTCTAGAAGTCAAATTGACAAATTTATATTTTCCAACTTTCCTTTTTCTTTTCTTTTTCTTTTTCTTTCTTTCTTTTTTTTTTTTCTTTTTTTTTTTTTTTGAGACACAGTTTTGCTCTTGTTGCCCAGGCTGGAGTATAATGGCGCGATCTCAGCTCACTGCAACCTCCTCCTCTTGGGTTCAAGCAATTCTCCTGCCTCAGCCTCCTGAGTAGCCGGGATTGCAGGCGCCCTCCACCATACCCAGCTAATTTTTGTATTTTTAGTAGAGATGGGGTTTCACCATGTTGGCCAGGCTGGTCTCCAACTCCTGACCGCAGGCGATCCACCCACCTCGGCCTCCCAAAGTGCTGGGATTACAGGTGTCAGCCACCATGCCAGGCCCCAACTTTACTTTGTCTAAACCCCACAAGAATCATCTCCATTGCCTTCTTACTCATTAGCTTCAGAACTCTTATTTTTAATTTGGCCAAATTAGCAAAATTGGTATAGTTTTTGTATTTGTATATTTCTCATTGGATTAATAAGAGGACTACTTCTTATTGATTAAGGAAACATTATAATTTAATAGAAAGCTACCATCAAGTATATACAAGATAGGTTATTCAAGGAACTATGTCTGACAGATTAGCACCAGTCCAACAACGTGGACTCATTTTTAATATCAATAATAAAAGGACACTACTTGAGGAATATCAACATAGAACAGAGCCTCTATTTAACATGTATTTATTAATGTTAAATAGTAAATAGACAAACAGTAAAATGTACAAATAGTAAATGTGTAATAAATACACCATAAATTAATGCTGAATAAATTAATTTATTGTCTACTTACTATTTGCTATGTTCTGGTATGGTGACCATATTATTTGTCATTAAAAGATTACAGTATTGAGAAATAAGCTAGGAGAACAGGCATATGCAGTACTGTCCATGACAAATCTGGAGGAAAAACCATTCTAGGCTCTAAGGACACCAGTACTAAATCAAACTGAAGGAAAGCTAGAGCTTGCAAGGTTGAATCTGATGTAACCCTTTCCATCAAGGATGCAGAAAAATGGTACTAGGGCCACATTTGGAAATGCTTCGCATGTCTGCCTTTAGGTTTGTCCACTCAACATTTATTAAATGCTCTGAATGTTCTCTGTGGCTCTTTTGTCTTAAGCACTAAGGCCTCAATAAGAACTGTATAAATGGTCCCATTTACTATTCCATTCTGAAGAGAATAGATAGAAATTCAACAATGAGGGCCTTCCTTCAACAATGAGGGCCTTCCTATTCACAAATCATCAGTAGTGTGGTGAACAAAAAAATTGTTCTTGGGCTTTATTTTGAAATGTGTTTTCAGAAGAAAAAAGTTAAGAAATGAACATAGTTGGTTTCAGAATTTTAGGTATATGAAGACACATTTTGTGTTTAATTAGAAAGTTTGAGCCCCAGATTAACTTGTAATGCTTCCTGGAACGATCTTATTGACCTGCATGTCTAGAGAATGAGAACTTAAATATGTCTGTAATTAATTCTCCCACTTATTACCTACTTGATAATTTTTCTTTATAGAAGACAAGCTTTCATTGCCTAATTTGTGGTTCATAGTTTGCCAATGAAGAAAGTTTATAGTTAAGCCCTTTTGATTTTATTGGAATTTAATAAATTATCAGTAACAGTATCCAATGCAGCCTTGTATAGAATAAGTACTCAATAAAAATGTACTGATTCTATCCTTTCTTTCAAACATAAGTAAATTATTCTATATCTAGAGTACCTGTAATTTTTTATTTACCCAGAACTGTCATGTTTTTATGTGTGTTACCCCAGTGTCTGATCCACACAGCAACTCATTTCACTCTGAAAAGTGTTCCATTTTGGATCATAAATTATTAGGTCATCCAATCTAAGACTACCATATTTACATAGTTAATGCCTTTTTCCTCTAATATACTTCAAACTTTTAGTTCAATATAGCCTAAAAGTGAGAATATCTTCATTTCTTTTCTCCTATTAATATCAAATTGATTTTACTGGATACATTATTTATTCACTCTTTCAAATGTTCCACATATCTCCAGTGCTAAGCATTATGTTAGATTCTGGAGATAGAATGCTGAGCAAGGTACATATAATTCTGTCCTCATAAAACATGCAGATGTCTGGTGACAAAGCTAAAAAAGGTGAAATCTAAGGAAAGTCTAAGAAAGCTGTACTGCTAACTACAGGGAAGCGATTTGCCAGCCACAGTCAAGTTCTCAGTCAAGCAAGGGAAAGGAATTCTGTCTGTCTTGGGCCTCAGCAGAGAAGCTAAACATCTCGGGTTCTAATGGGATCAAAGGAACTCCTGCATCAGCCACAGAAGAATCTCGTTATACTCATGGACAGCTTGTGGAATCCTGGTTTTCAGAACCATAATGTGGCTTCTATGGCGGGAGAAAGAGAGCATTTCATTTTGCAATCCAAATAAGATAGGAATTCAAAATCAGTCTAGAGATTTCATTCCAAAGAGTACTTTTAATTCTTTCCTGAACAATCTACTACCGAGTGGGGCCTAAATGACACACTGTGCTACCAACTACCTGGTTTTGTGAGACCCTCTTAGCTCTCATATGATGTATGAACCAATTATGGCTTTTAGTGAGTTATAGTATGATGATACAGGAAATAGCATAGGCTACTAAGATGTAGTAGACCGTATTATAGGAAGCCTAAATGCCTGGAAAAGGCACCTTTGTGTATCCAGAATTAAAAATGTGACACATGCCTTCCTGTTAGTTTAAAAAAGGAAAATATGTTAATTATGGCTCTCTAGCTCTGACTCATTTAGATTTGTATATATGTTCAGATATCTATTCTCCTTTAAATACAAATAAATCTTTTTCTTATTTTGTTTAAATTTTTCTGGATCCACAGTTGATTCATTCAATTAGTATAAAACATGGATTGGGGTTTATGTTGGGTTGCAGAAATAAGTACTTCCTCTGACTTTGCTTATTATAGGCATTGGAAATGAATAGTAGTAATAATACTACTATGAAAATAATAACATTTAGTCGCTGGAAAAATGCAAGTAAAGGTCAGAATACAATTTGTTAAAATAATGCCTAATACATAGTCAATGACTAATAAGTATTATAAATGGATGCTGAGATTTCTTATGCTTATATCGATTAGAAAGGCATACTACATAACTGCTAAGGTTTTCAAGATCTACAGGCCTTTGATAAATTAATGGTATACTTAACATTCCCATGTTAAGATACATATGCCAATACACATGCATACACATCATAGATACATATATTAATATGTCTAAAGAAATTATTATTTAGAGTTCAACAGTCCAAACAGTGTATTTTAGCCACACATCTAAAATATTTTCTCCTACGGTGCCCAAGTTCCCCAACCTGTATTGAAGTAGATCTTCCAGTCTACAAAGGATAAAAGGAATCTGCTGACATTAAATGATTTCAAACATAAATTACAATCTATACATTTGATGCTGGTGTCAATACCCCCTAGCTTAAAAGATGATTAATTATATTTTTCATTTCTAAAACTTTGGCATAATCTAGACATTTCAGAGACTTGCATTCATAGCGCTACCACTATCTGTATTATTTTCACAGTTTAGATTTTTCAGCTATACTACGTCACTTGGTAGTCACAAGTCCAGTGATCTGGATGGTGCTTTTTAAAATTATCTCCATTTTACAGATGAGAAAACTGAGGCTTAGAGATTTTTGGTGACAGTATACAAAGTTATAATTATACAAGAATGAAGATGCTCTTAACCTTTGGTCTTATTCCACTTGCAGAACTGAGAACATTAAACCCACTTTTTCAGAATTAAATACATGTATCCTCTCCTTTTTTAGAATTATTTTTCAGAGTAGTAAAGATGGAACCATAGATTGAAAATGACAATCATAATAATAATGATTAATCATGACTGACATTTTGAATGCTGTTGTCTTAAAATATAACTGCATCAACAAGATTTCCCGCAGTTTAATTTCTTCTGCTGAAGGGAAATACCCTCATTTGTATTTCCTGCAGGCAAAAGCTTGTGGAGCACTACCTGCAGATCTCAGCCTCCAGGCACTGTAGTGTCCTATCTGGGGCTTTCATGCAAATGTCTCATTGTGCTCAAGCAAAATTACAAATTGATTACAAGTCACATAAACAGGGATCATCTTAATCATCACAGAAGTTCAGCTGCCTCTGGGCTGAAACAAGGCAGCTGTTTAATCACAAAATACTATATTCTTCAATAGTGCAGGACAGTGTGAAAAATGATCTGATTCTCAAATGCCGCATTCAGTTATAGTTGCACTAATGTCAAAACAGTGTAAATATATTAGAGATAATCCAAAAGAAGATTAAAAAGTAGTGAAGTAATGAATTAGTAAACTGACATACAGAGAGAGGATAAAATTAAAATATAATGGACTTAGAGGCAGACTTGAAGTATAATAGAATTCAGGCAGATGACTATAGGACTCCATCAGCCATATAAACCTGGAAAAGTCACCTAATAGATTACAAACCTCAAATTTCTCACCCAGGAAGATACTGAGACTACATTATCTCTAATGTCTTTTCCATGAATAGAGTTCCCTTATTCTATATATGTATATATTTTTAAATTTACTTCTTTTAAAAAATGCTAAAATGGGACAAGATCAATAGATACAAACGTTGCCTCCACCAAACCTGAAAAATGTATACACTTTATCATATGAATTATTAATTCATATATTTGGCATCCTCTCCTATCTTAAAAGATAATAAAGTCATCTCCATCTGTTTTTTTTTTTTTTTTTTTTTTGAGACGGAGTCTTGCTCTGTCACCCAGGCTGGAGTGCAGTGGTGCAATCTCAGCTCACTGCAACCTCCGCCTCCCGGGTTCAAGCGATTCTCCTGCCTCAGCCTCCCAAGTAGCTGGGATTACAGGTGCCCACCACCACACCCGGCTCATTTTTGTACTTTTAGTAGAAACGGGGTTTCACCATATTGGCCAGGCTGGTCTCAAACTCCTGATCTTGTGATCCACCCACGTCGGCCTCCCAAAGTCCTGGCATTACAGGCGTGACCACCGCACCCGGCCTCTAGCTTTTTAAAAAATCTATCACTGTGCCCTACTAAGCAGGTCAGCCATTGAGAAATAAAAAGTGTGGTTAATGTTGAATGGTTAACTGATATTTTACAGCAGCTACTCTGAGTTGGCTTTCTAAAAAATAAATAAAAAATTATATAAATAGAAATTATGCCACTATCAAAAATACAAACTGTCTTTTAAATGCCAATATATGAATAAAACCCTAATTGGGACTGTTAAGAAAATATGACAATATTTATGCTTAGTAATTTTTAAAATTATTAATGATACCTCCAGCTTCTTCCGTTTTCCTTCCTGATCATTATAAAAGAATTCCACTTGTAAAAAAAGAGAAAAAAAACAAGGTCAATGACTTGGCTTTTTTCTTTATTATATCAAAGTAAAACCTTTAACAGACAATGTTAAAAAGGGAAGGGACTCTTTATTCAAAGTTATTGCAATAGGGAAGAAAAACCAGAATTCATTCTCAATTCCATTCTCCTAAAACAAAGATCTGGAGAGTTTTTTAGAGCTTAAAACTCTTTGGGGGTTGGGGAATCTTATGCCATCCAATTGGCCTTACCCAAATGAAAAGTAATATTTCGCATATCTTCATTGCAGGAGGCAGTTTTAAACTGGGGACAGAAGCACATACCCAGGTTAGGGTCCTAACTTTCCTTCCTCCCCTGAAACTGGAAATAGGGATGCCATCTGCCTTGATGATTACATTTTAAAGGGAAGGCTCCCAGATCTTTAAAACACAGTTTTCGGTTGTAAAACTGGCAAAAGGCTTTTAAAAAGATTTTCATCTTGGCCGCGTACAGTGGCTCACGCCTGCAATTCCAGCACTTTGAGAGACTGAGGCGGGCGGCTCACGAGGTCAGGAGATCGAGACCATCCTGGCTAACACGGTGAAACCCCGTCTCTACTAAAAATACAAAAAATTAGCTGGGCTTGGTGGCAGGCACCTGTAGTCCCAGCTACTTGGGAGGCTGAGGCAGGAGAATGGCGTGAACCCGGGAGGTGGAGCTTGCAGTGAGCCGAGATCGCGCCACTGCACTCTAGCCTGGGCGACAGAGCGAGACTCCATCTCAAAAAAAAAAAAAAAAAAAAAAAAAAGCCTCCCTAAAATGTAGTCGAGCTGATGGGAATGTTAAGGCCTTCTTGGTAACCTGGTACAGTTTTTCTTTGTATACTGTGTTAAAGAAAGAGGGAAGAAAGGGAAAGAGAGAGCTAGATGTGTAGGGGATGAGTTAGAAAGTAACACAGAAAGATGCCTACGTTGAGCCTAAAGATTATGAAAGAGTAGAAGGGAAGGGTAGAAAGAATTTAGTTTGGATTCTTATAAGCCAGTGCCCTCCACTGCTGCAGAATTTCACAGCTCTGATCTATATCAGCTCATGAGAGGATAGCAGAAAGACCTCATACAGAACCTCAGTGTAATACAAATATCCCTTTTCTTGGAGTGGTCACTTCAATTGGATAGAGCCATTACATTGAGCATTGCTCGCAAGATGGTGGGTTAATATCCCCCACTTACTATCATTTTAATTAATATGTGAAACAAGTGGGATATGCTGGTGTTGTAAGAAAAAAAAATGAACAGTTGATTTTTTTTTTCCTACTGTCCATCCATACTGATGTGGCTTGGCTCTGTGGCCCCACCCAAATCTCATCTTGAAGCTCCCATAATTCCCATGTGTTGTGGGAAGGACCCCGTGGGAGATGACTGAATCATGGGTGTGTGTGGGGGATCCTTTCCATGCTCTTCTTGTGATAATAAATGGGTCTTATGAGATATGGTTTTAAAATCGGGAGTTTCTCTGCACAACCACTCTTTGCCTGCTGCCATCCACGTAAGATGTGACTTGCTCCTCCTGGCCTTCCACCATGATTGTGAGGCCTCCTCAACCATGTGGAACTGTAAGTCCAATAAACCTCTTTCTTTTGTAAATTCCCATTCTCAGGTATGCCTTTATCAGTAGCATGAAAATGGACTAATACACATATCTATTCTATACAATAAATGTATGCCCTACTTCTTCTTCCATGCAATTTATAAAATGTTTGTGTCAGACAATCATCAGAATTCATTTCCCCTTCTATCTTTTGGTTTTCAACCCCATGCTTGTCAAGTATTATTGGCGAATAGCACTTCATATGGATGTGGGGGAAATTTTCACCTATTATTTTGGGTCCTAATCAAACTAGATATACAGAGTTCCATTTGAACATCAATTTGACTATTCACCTTTGCTGCCCTCTGCTTTTCTTCCTTCCTCCCATTCCCTTCAGCCATTTAAGTTATATTTAACCCACAGTATTAGTCCTTGAGGCTACTGTAACAAATTATCACAAACTTGGTGGCTTAAAATAACAAATTTGTCTTTCACAGTTCCAGAGGCTAATAATTCAAAATCAAGGTGTCCTTAGAACCACACTCCCTACTGACACTTTTGGAGAGATTCTCTTGTGGCCTCTTCCAGCTTTTGGTGCTTTCTGGCATTTCTTAGCTTAAGATAACATCACTACATCTTTTTCCTGCTTCTTCAAACCACCTTCTTCTAAATAATCCAGGGTATTTTCCTCATATCAAGATTCTTCATTAACTTATACCTGCAAAGTCCATTTATCCAAATAACATTGACACATTCCAAAACTAGGACTTAATATCTTTGGGTGGCCATATTTTACTAAAACTTCAAGCCACACATTGTTAAGAGATAATATGTAGGCACAAAATATCAATGTGATTAGTCCCTATAAGGTGTTTTTTTTTTCTTCTTAACATAAAAACACATAGCAATTAGGGAATTATGGAGGAAGCCCTTAGTAGAAGTATATGGGGGAAGATGACACCAAATATGAATGTTGCCTTCTTGACGCACTCCTCCAGATTGTCATTCTTATAGCATTTGCCATGACTTGGGAGCCTTTTCTATCCCACATCACTAGTAACTTTTACAGTACTTTTTTTTTTTTTTGAGACGGAGTCTTGCTCTGTTGCCCAGGCTGGAGTGCAGTGGTGTGATCTCAGCTCACTGCAAGATCCACCTCCTGGGTTCACGCCATTCTCCTGCCTCAGCCTCCTGAGTAGCTGGGACTACAGGTGTCCACCACCACACCTGGCTAATTTTTTTGTATTTTTAGTAGAGACGGGGTTTCACCTTGTTAGCCAGAATGGTCTCAATCTCCTGACCTCGTGATCTGCCCGCCTCGGCCTCCCAAAGTGCTGGGATTTCAGGTGTGAGCCACCGCGCCTGGCCCTTTTACAGTACTTTTAACCATATATATGTATATAAAGAAATAATAGATTCAGTATACTAAAACTTCTCATAATAAGGTAATATTAATGGGAACAATAAAAAAATCAATAATGCATTGTTGTTTTAGAAAAAATAGTATAGGAAAAGTAATTTAACAATTTCCAAACTGCTATGTATTCATTTTTTAAGTTATATTTTTAGCCTTCCTCAATTGTGATTTTTCTATTTTTCTGAATTGCCCGGAATGTTACTACTACATTCATTTAAAATATCATGTAGTGATTAAGTTCCCAGACTTTAAATTCAGACAAAACTAACTTTGAAGCCCATCTCCTTCTCATAATTTGTGTGTTGCCAAGGCAATCTAAGATTCTTGTCCAAATATAAAAGTTTTACTTATCCATTGCAGAGTTACTACTGAGTTTTTGAGACAATGGATTGAATCTGGAGGTGAACTGCCTGGTTTTCAATCCCAATTCTTCTACTTATTAGTTTTGTGACACTGAACAGCTTAATTAATCTCATTCCTATATCAGTCTCCTCATCTTTATAATGAGGTAATAACTTATCCAATAGAGTCCTTTTAAAGATTCAATGATTTAATTCATATGAAGCATCTAGCCTGGCACATATGAAGCCCTCAGTGAGAATTAGCTATCATAATTGTCATCATCATCATCAACATCATTTCTGTTTATATTATACTGATATTAAAAGGATTTCTCAGCAATTCTCAGGTGCTACCAAGGTTGACAAACCCTAGATTTCAATTTGATTCCAGAAAAAGTATTATATGTGTTTTAATTTTTTAAAAAATGAGTAAGATATTTGTAATTTGCATGCACATAAAGCCTATGGTTTATAATAAGTAAGGAAAATAATAGGGAGGTACTGAGGAGAAACTCAATGAAATGAATCAGAACTATTTTAATAACTAAGGAATTTAGAGTCAATATAATTAACAAGCAAGTATCTGAGAGATTCAAGGTCATTGCTGAAGCTACTGGAAACAAAGTTTTTCAAAAAAAAAAAGACAGCCTTTGCATGTAGACTAAATTATGATATAAGTTCACATTAATCTTCAAGGTGGCATAACAATTCAAGCCCACCATTACAGCAAATCTGAGACATATGCCAAGATGCATCAGTGAAGATGAGGATTTTGGGGAAAGCTCTCCATCAGAATAAGCCAACTGGTATTCTGTAAAGTTCCACCATGAGTTAATCTAGGGATTTAACCGTTTGTCTTCAATTCAACTCTAATCAAGCTAAAGAGGCAACTTTAAGATATAAGGGTTGTTGTTCCAGAATGATTATGTATGTGTTATTAATTCTTATAAATTTAGAATCAGCTGGGCACGGTGGCTCACACCTGTAATCCCAGCACTTTGGGAGGCTGAGGTGGGCGGATCACGAGGTCAGGAGATTGAGACCATCCTGGCTAACATGGTGAAACCCCGTATCTACTAAAAATACAAAAAAATTGGCCGGGTGTAGTGGCGGGTGCCTGTAGTCCCAGCTACTCGGGAGGCTGAGGCAGGAGAATGGCATGAACCCACGAGGCGGAGCTTGCAGTGAGCCAAGATCGCGCCACTGCACTCCAGCCTGGGCAACAGAGCGAGACTCCCTCTCATAAATAAGTAAATAAATTTAGAATCATGTATTCATTGATGTTTATTCAAAGCCTCCTTCCCTGAGATATGGTATTAGAAAAATAAGCAATTATTTAAATAACCATAACTTATTATTATAAAAATCTGTCATTTAGGCTGAAATTAACACATTTAATTGGTTCTGGAGCTTTGATAAGTGTATGGATCATGACTGTGTAAATTATCAGTGGTTTTTCTCTACTTATTGAGAAATAATAGCAAATTTTAAAAATGATTAAAATTATAATAAGTGTTTTGAATGTGAGTTAATATGGTGCCATTGATAAAAGAAGAATGTTAGGAGAAAGAAGCAGGGAGGAAAGCACACTTTAATTCCTATCACAATGGCCCTTAGGTAAAAGTATCTGATTGGAGACATTTTATAGGTAACTGGGAAACATGAAGTCTAAATTTAAGTCAACATTAAGGTAAATTTTAAACTTTAAGACAGTATAAGGTTACCAAGGAAAAAAAGGAAAAAACATGAATGTAGGTATTCTGGTGAATGCATATTGAGCCTTAGGGAAAAGTCACAAAATAGAATAATAAGCAAGTAATTAATAGCTTTTGAAGGAGGACCAGAAAAATGTCATATATTATATGACCGGGGAGAACTGTTACTGTTGGAATATATTTCCCAATAAATCTGTCTCCCTGTCTCTTACAGCCATTGCTTTTTAATTGTACCATGAGAACTATGAAAAATAAGTGTAATACTTCACATCATAGGTCCTTCAAAATGGCAATGATTATTTCTTTTTCTTTTTGTGGTATTATATTCTTTGCATCTAGCCTAGAGTCTGGTATGTTACAAATAGTTTATAAATACGTATTCATTGGTTGCATATTTGAAGACAGTCATTATATTAGTTTAAATTTTTTTCTTTCCCTGGGTTATTTCTGTATGTGGCCTTATCAGTTCTCTCACATTACCAAAAACACATACCCATATATGTACTGCATGTTTTTCAGAGTCCTGCAGACTGTAGAAGCTCTAGTTTTATTTGACCATCATATTTTCCTTATCTTCTTCAGGCTCTGGAGGAGTAACTAATCTAGGAAGTTATCATAAAATTTTGAAGGTGCAAGCTACTTCAAAAAGAGGATCCCATTCACTGTCAATGGTAATCCATCCAAATAGGGCCAGTGAGATTTCCCTGGAATAGCTAAGCTAGAAGAATAAGAATATCTGGCAACTGTCCTACTGTTAATGGTAGAGGGTGTCTAGGTTCTTCGTGTCTTGGACAAAGAATTGAACAAAATGTGGCCAGGCGCAGTGGCTCATGCCTGCAATCCCAGCACTTTGGGAGGCTGAGGCGGGTGGATCACAAGGTCAGGAGTTCAAGACCAGCCTGGCCAATACGGTGAAACCCCGTCTCTACTAAAAATACAAAAATTAGCCAGGCATGGTGGTGGGTGCCTGTAGTCCCAGCTACTTGGGAGGCTGAGGCAGGAGAATCATTTGAACCCTAGAGGTGGAGGTTGCAGTGAGCCAAGATCACACCATTGCACTCCAGCCTGGGCCACAGAGTGAGACTCTGTCCCAAAAAAAAAAAAAAAAAAAAAAAGAAAAGAAATTGAACAAAATGCACAAACAAGAAAGTAATGAAGTGATTTATTGAAAATGAAAGTACACTCCACAGTGTGGGAGCAGCCCCGAGTGCAGAGGCTCAAAGGTCCTGTTATAGAGTTCTTGTGAGTTTAAATACTCTCTACTTGGGATATGCCCTATATAAATGAAGAGGATGAAGTAAAGGTGCAAAGTCATTTACTCGGTATATGCCCTATGGAGAGGGGATTTCCTCTCATACCTGAACATAAGGATCAGCCTTATGTTCCCTGCCTCCAGACCCTATTTTTCAGCCTCACTGCCACATGAAAACAAACTGTGTAAAAAATGAGGATCAAGAGAAATTAATGGAGTCAACTCCTAGAGAGAAAGATACCATGTGATATTGTTGACCTCCTAGGCAGAGCTGCATTTAAATCAATTTAAGCCCTGGGGGCTCATATAAGAGCCAATAAATTCCTTTGTTTTCCCAACTTATACCATTATGTGAAATTAAAAAATGATTTAACTAAAGTTGACATCCAAAAATGGTACACCACTTTTTTTTTTTTTTTTTTTTGTGATGGAGTCTTGCCCTGTGCCCAGGCTGGAGTGCAGTGGTGCAATCTCAGCTCACTGCAAGAATGGCACACCACTTCTAAGTGTGGTCTGCTCTCTACAAAGGAGCTCTAATTAGATTTAAAAAAAAAGGAAATAAATAATAAGTGCTTTTCTTACCATTATAATTTTCCCAACATATGCTTATGACTTATGTATCCAAATGTTATGTTATTATTCACTGATTCAGAATCATCTGCCTCTTTCCATTTTGGTCACCATATTACCAACTACATTGATAGGAGAGATTTTTTTTTTTTTACTTTTTTTTTAAAATTATACTTTAAGTTCTAGGGTACATGTGCACAACATGCAGGTTTGTTACATATGTATACATGTACCATGTTGGTGTGCTGAACCCATTGACTCGTCATTTACATTAGGTATATCTCCTAATGCTATCCCTCCTCCCTCCCGCCACCCCACAACAGGCCCTGGTGTGTGATGTTCCCCACCCTGTGTCCAAGTGTTCTCATTGTTCAATTCCCACCTATGAGTGAGAACATGTGGTGTTTGATTTTCTGTCCTTGTGATAGTTTGCTCAGAATGATGGTTTCTAGCTTCATCCATGTCCCTACAAAGGAGGGACATCCTTTTTAATGGCTGCATAGTATTCCATGGTGTATATGTGCCACATTTTCTTAATCCGGTCTATCATTGTTGGACATTTGGGTTGGTTCCAAGTCTTTACTATTGTGAATAGTGCCGCAATAAACATACATGTGCATGTGTCTATATAGCAGCATGATTTATAATCCTTTGGGTATATACCCAGTAATGGGATGGCTGGGTCAAATGACATTTCTAGTTCTAGATTCTTGAGGAATCACCACACTGCCTTCCACAATGGTTGAACTAGTTTACAGTCCCACCAACAGTGTAAAAGTGTTCCTATTTCAATAGGAGATATTTTTAAGAGATGATAAGCCAATTGGTTAACTGACGTTTAAGTTTTTTTTTTTCCTCCATAATCTCATTTATTTTCCAGGCTGAATATTTGGCAAGTGCCAAAGCTTTGGTTGAGGAGCAGAGAGATACACTTTTAACATATATATATATGTATATATATATATTTTTTTTGGAGACGGCGTCTTGCTCTCTCACCCAGGCTGGAGTGCAGTGGTGCAAGGTGCAATCTTGGCTCACTGCAACCTCTGCCTCCTGGGTTCAAGAAATTCTCCTGCCTCAGCCTCCTGAGCAGCTGGGACTGCAGGCGTACACTGCCACAGCTGGCTAATTTTTTGTATTTTAGTAGAGATGGAGTTTTACCATATTGCCCAGGCTGGTCTCAAACTCAGGAGCTCAGGCAATCCGCCCACCTCAGCCTCCCAAAGTACTGGGATTACAGGTGTGAGCCATTACACCCAGCCCAACATATATTTTTAAAATAAGAAATGATGCTTCACTTCAAAAAAAAATAAACCCGCTACACTTTACTATGTCTCATGGGGTGCAGAAGGAGACTACTTTAAATACATTTTTTTTATTGACAAAGTGGCATTGATAAGATACTTGACAATATCAACCTAAATGAAACAAACAAAAACATGGCAATAGGGCTCAGATGCACTTTTAATTAATTTTATAGAATAGCAGTAATATTAGGATTGTGAAATGGATAAATCCAAGTAAAAGTCATTTGGGGTAAACCAAAAAGGTAGAGTTATTTGATGAAGAGGCATTTTGTGAATGGGCAAGTACAGGTTGAAGAAGAATAACTTGACTCATGGCAAATGTGCTAGAGAATGTAACTTCTATAGAATGGCTGCAGAAAACTGAAAAGGCCTGGAAAAATTACCTGACATTTTAGGTGAAAATAAATGAAGATGTTAGAAAGAAGCAGAATTTTTAAAAAATCAGTTTTTCCCAAAGTTAGATTAATTTCCCTTTTTGCTCTACCTCAAACTGCTTCTTGAGCTTTTCATTTTAGTCAAATTGTCATCTTAAAAAGCAGCACTAATGAAATTGCTGAAAGCATTATAAAAATATATAGAAAGAAGCAAGTGCTAAAATCATCCATTATTAAGAGACTGTGAACTGTAAACATCAGACAGGGCACCCATCACTGCAGAGGCAAATTGAAAGCTGAAAGAGATTTGCTTTATTGTCTCTCTGATTTAAAATTGATTGAAATGCATATACAAATGGAAAAGCTGTCAAAGGCTGCCTGTGGTAAGTTGATAGCTCATCTTTTCCTTCTGACCCAAAGCTTTAATGGTGTTCCTTTCAGGTAGGGAAGGAAGAAGGTAGGTTTTGAACCCATCATGTACAAGTATGAACTGAGACCCAGACATTGGTGATGACCATTTCCTGCTATCTTTGTTGATCACACGGATCGTGAGCAGTGTGTATGCCCACGTTGATGAAATCAGTGCATATGTCCCCATTGTCTGTATTGCACATAAAAAAAAATTCTTGCTGTTGTTTACAGAAGCGAGAATGTCATCAATCCTGAAAGGCATTGAAATGTCATGTGAAAACAGGCTGAAATGTTTTTAATAAGGCAAATCCAAGAAAACATCTCTCGGCCTGGCACGGTGGCTCATGCCTGTAATCCCAGCACTTTAGGAGGCTGAGGCCGGCAGATCACGAGGTCAGGAGTTTGAGACTAGCCTGGCCAATATGGTGAAACCCCGTCTCTACTAAAAATACAAAAATTAGCCAGGCGTGGTAGTGCACGCCTGTAGTCCCAGCTACTCGGGAGGCTGAGGCAGAAGAATCGCTTGAACCCAGAAGGCGGAGGTTGCAGTGAGCAGAGATCACGGCCACTGTACTCCAGCCTGGGCAACAGGGGGAGACTCTCTGAAAACAAACAAATAAAAACAACTGTCACTATTTTCCTTCTTTATTTTCCCTGTGCCTACACCCTAGTCTAGTCAAGATGTTGTCCCATTTCTGATGTTGTTTTTCTTCCAGAATCCACATTGCTACCCAAAATGAATTACTTCTTCTAAACCAAACTAATATTTTTAAGGCATTAATTTACGCTTATCAACTCTGTACCACAAATCCTTCAAGGACCCTCAACTGCCAATGTCCTAACAGGATGTTAAAATCCAAACTCCTCCAAGAAGGCATTTAGAGTTGTCAATAATCCAGCTCCACTTTTTTCCTCCATCACTGTTCTGCCAAAGTTTTCATTATAGTCTTCTCTTCAGGCTAGTCTTCTCTTCACCACACCTAAAACATCTGACACCTCTGACCCAACACATTATACTCCATTCTTCCTCTAAATATTTATGTGAATTATTTTCCTGATTTTAATTACTTACTCTAATTCTCTCTGTATTTACAAATTATATCCATTCTTTAGATTTTCATTCAAATCTTAATGTCACTATGCATAAAATGTCTCAGGAAATAATCAGTTGTTTCTGCTGGAGTAAGTTCTCAACACAGAAAAATAGTTTTAGAATGAAAATAACATAACAGGGAAAATGCAGATTGTTTGTGCCAATAACAACAATATATTTTTTTAAAATTCAGCCCTTCAAGGTTTTGTAGTGCTTTTTTTGCTCTATGCATGCACATATACCCACACACACATACAAAACCTATGATCATTTCTAGTGAGATAAAATAACTACACTTGAAATTAGTAATCGTTTCATAATGAAAGACAGGAAATCAAACCAACAGACAAAATACCCTGTATATGATGAGAGTTGATCAGGCTCAAAAATGAAATGTCATATATTAGTACCAGGCAATTCCCTGATACCAACCACAATGATAAAAGTCAATGAAATAAAAAAAAGTGTTAACTCATATGTAGATCACTTGAAATTGAGAATGTGACACAACTTATTTTTACCAGGTTGTACTTTTTATGAAGATAAAAATTACTCAGATATTTAATGTGTTCTATTAAAATAAAATTTTAATGAAGTATTCAAAAATTTCACATATTTGAAACATAACTACATGCGATTTGAAAGAAGACTCTGCTTTGTTCACCATAAATTCAATGTTCATAAATATTTTAGATAAACACAATTTAAATCTGATTATAAAAACTTACAATATTGTTAAAAGCAAGCTGCCACCTGACACATTCAGAAAAGCACATGTTCTCAGAGACTATTTTATTAAGCCACATATATTGATATTGTAACCAATATGTTAGAAAAACAACAATTTTTGAAAATGTAATTAGCACAATTTTTTAAGAAGATAGGAAAGAACACAAAGATACAAATCCAATGTACTTGACACATTAATTTGAGGCTGAGAATATTTGACATCTTCATCATTCAGGTGGAAGAGGCTTCAGATGTTACTGTTCTCATTATTTTCCAGGTAATCATAAAAATTAAGAAAAAATATTTACAGTGTTTAAGCATTTGCGTTTAAAAATATTTTATCAAGTAAGGTATCAAAAGTGTAATGAAAGCTGTATTAAAAATTTGAAAACTATCTAAGCAAAAAAGCACGTATGAGACTTTTATTATGTATGAACCATCATTGTGTTTCATTAAAAAGATCCCTGATTAAGGAAATTTGCTAGGCAAATACTGTCAGCAAACACTACACTAGTTATATTTTTATTATGTTTTATGTTTTAACTGCATTTCATTCAGAGTTACATGTAATCCTACTTGAAGTGATTTAAAAATTATTTTTATAGTGGAATCTGTTCTATTGTCCATATGATAGTTTAAAATATGAGAAATTCAGATAATATTTTACAGTGTTAATACTTAAACTCCAGATGTTGTGGAAACAGGTTATATATTTTGCTGCTAATTTTAGTAATCTAAGTAAGTCCAATTCACACTCACAAAATTACCTACTTTTAAATGTATATAGAATGCCCGCCTTAAAATTGAAGCTAAAGTTTGATTTTAACAGCAAGGAAAAATAAATATGACTGTTTTGAAATATTAAATTGTTACTTCATAGTTGAAACTGAGGTGGTATTTTTTTGACATTTTTGAAAAATTCTTAATGAACATTTATGTTGGCAAAGGAACGTTTTCAGAGCCAATATTAACCAATCATTGAAAGCAAGCACTAGTTGAATATTGGTAAGTTAGTGATATAATTTTGAAAAATAGAAATCAGTTCTTGTCGAACTATCAGAATTTAATTGGAAAATGTAGGAAGATAGCACGCAGAAATAGTTAAAAATCAGTTGCAATTTTTTGTCTGTGTAAATGATTTCTCAACACTGTGCCCTGAAAGACAAAATTAAGAAATAAATTAACAACTAAAACTATTAAACTTGAAATAACTTATACTAACTTTTCTTCTAATTCAACGGATTGGAGTTCCATGTAAGAATTTATTTGACAAAATTGGATCTGTTGTTAAATATGAAAACCACTCAATAGGAATTCTGTCAAGGATACAGTACAGATGAAGAGGCATTCCAGAAGTTTTGTTTTGTTTTCCTGTAAAAGAAGGTAGAGAAGGTGATTTCAAGATTGATTTTATTTCTAAAACAAACCTGATGCTGCATGTATCTAGCAGTTTACCTAAATGAACAAGTAGATTAATAGAATAATAGTGACTAGCTAAATATCTGTTCCCATTAATATCTGGCACTAGAGGCTTTATGTAATCTATTTTATTTAATTTGATGTGTGATTGCACATTTCTCTGTCTATCCAGTATCTTGGGGTGTAATAGTTCTAAACTACTGTTACAAAAAGTGCTTTGATTAAAAATTTAGGAAATTTTCTTCTAGTTATAAGCTTTTTAAAAAAATAATAAAAGCCCGAAAGACTCAATAAACTTTTATTTTCCAAAATAAACTCTATGGTCATGTGAAAGTCTGCAAAAAGCATTTTCTTCTATATGTACACATACTTGCATAAAAAAGTCTTTAATCTTGTGTTTTTAGAAGTTTTAGATTTATGGGAAAAATCTTATTTCATTATTTCCCTTCCCAAGTATTGACAATAATTTCCATTCTCAGATTTTCTTTATGTTGATATGGAAAGGCATATTGTCATAATCTGTTAAAACTGCTATAACAAAAATTATCATACACTGGGTGGCTTCTAAACAATAGGAATTTTTTCTCACAGTTCTGGAGGCTGGAAAGTTAAAGATCAAAAGATGCCCTCAGATTCAGTGTCGGATGAGGGTCATTTTCTGGTTCATAGAACTCATCTTCTCATTGAGTCCTCATATAATAGAAGGAGCTCATTAGCTCTCTAGGGTCTCTCTTACACGGGGACTGATATAGCTTGGACGTTTGGTCCCTACAAATCTTACGTTGAAATGTGATCCCCAGTATTGGAGGTGGGACCTGGTGGGAAGTGTTTGGGTCATGGGGGCAGATCCCTCATGAATGGCTTAGTGCCTCTTCATGGTAATGAAATAGCAAGAGATCTCATTATTAAAAAAGAGTCTGGTATCTCTCGTCTCTCCTGCTCCTTTTCTCTTGCTCCCTCTCTCACTATGTGACACACCTGCCTCCCCTTCACCTTCCTCCATGAGTGGAAGATTCCTAAGGCCTTCATCAGATAGAGATGCTGATTCCATGTTTCTTGTACAGTCTGTAGACCTATGAGAGAAAATAAACCTCTTTTCTTTATAAATTACCCAGTCTCAGGTATTCCTTCATAGCAATGCAAAACATACTACACAGACACTAATCCCATTCACAAGGTCACAGCTCTCATTACCTAATCACCCCCACCAAAAGCCCCACCTAATACATTGGAATTAGGTTTCAGCATATGAATTTGGGGAAAACAGACATTCAACACATTTTCAGAGATCTGATATTTCTCTATAATTTATGGCTTGTTGGCTTTGTAAAAATAGGGGATAATTTTTACTACTGGCAGGTAGAATTGGCAGAAAAGCAATTTTTGTTGAGGATTTCCAAAGAAACCAAAATTGGATATATGTTCTGCAATGTAAGAAAATTGGATAAATGCCAGTGTAGTTAAATAATTGACCAGACAATTGGAAATTTTCAGGAAAGAAAAAATAATCGTTTGAATAAAGGCAACCTCTAAGTCAACAGTATGTATTAAAAGCACATCTCAATGGCTTTTATGAGCATATTTAAAATAATTCAACTGTTAAAATGCTGTGGAATAATTTTAAATTCCTACATATGCATATTTGAAATATTGAGTGTAGGCAGGAAAATTGCCAGGATGTTTATCAAACATAAATAAAAGTTGTTTTAGATTAATTTTCTTGTTAACAACAAAATCAGAGTGGTGAAAATTATTTTCATTATTTATTTATCATGAGCTGACTAATGTTATTTAACACTTCGTTTAGGGATTGATTACAATGATACTTTGTGGAAAAAAAAGAGTTCATATGTGACTGGAGCCCAGATGAACTTTTATAACATCGTGTAATGTATTTGGTGGTGATCCTCCGACTGCTGCCAAACAGCCTGGTTGTATTGTTATCAGTTGAGGAGCTAATTAAAAATACAGAGTATTGGCATGTCAAGATGATTTTTAGATTCAGTGGGTCTAAGATGAAGCTTATGAATATGTGTTATTTTACAAATTTTCCAGGAAATTCTAATTCACCTTCATAATTCAAAGCAATCAAATGATTTCCCTAGCCACCCCACCAAACCTAGAAAATTTGTACCATCCCCCCATTGAAAGGTATTATCTTCTCTTATTGCTAAGCCTATGTTCATTTTGTCAACTGACACAATCAAGACAAATCCGGATATATATATTCCATGAGGGAATTCTTCTGTTTTTGGTGTATTATGCATCCAGCACAGTGCTCAGTCTTACATAAAGATGTTATTTTAAATTTACAGCAACACTTTCAGGGAGATTTCCTCATGCCCTTTTAAAAGATGAGGAAATAACATCTCAGAAAGGTTAAATATCTTGCCCAAGGCCAAGATTAAAACCTTTGTTCTCCAAAACCTTTCCAAAGGATATCACCAATGTCACCACTATATAAAAAGGAGAGCTCCAAACACCTAAGAGATCAAGGTTTAAGACCTCCGAAGGTATTTGCTACAGCAAAGAAACAAAGAAACACTAGTGGTGTTCATGGTTTCTTATCCCATTCTTAAGCCTTTTAGACTCTACTTTGTGACATAATTCACATCAAAACTTTCGATGAAGTCTCTCCTGCTCTTCAATTTTAGAGTTTCTCCAGTTTAAAAATTGCCTCAGTTTTACTTCTTTAAGAATTGGGATAGCTTTAAACACAACTGCAGATTCTTGCACACTCTTTCCTTGAGGGGAAGGATCTGTGTCTCCACCCCTTGATTCTGGTTGAGGCTCTCACTGAGTGAGCCAGTAAAGAATATTGGAAATGTCACTATGTGGGACTGCAAATGCTAGATCATAAAAGAGTATACTACTTCCCATGAGTAAGCTCATAGGAGCACTTAGCTGTCACATAAAAGGGTTCAACTACCCTGAAGCTGCTACAGTGGAGAGGCCACATAGAGGTATTCTTACTGACAATTTTGGCTGAGACCAGCCTTCTAGCTTTCCCATCAGGGTACAGACATGTAAGTAAAGAAGCCATTTTGGAAATGGGTTCTTGAGTCCAATTCACTGTCTTCCCAGTTCAGACCCTAGTCTCATGGGGTAGAAGTAAGCCATTCCTGCTCTGTCCTGTCTGAATTTCTAACCCATGAGGAAAATAGAACAGATGTTGCTTGATGTCACAAAGTTTGTGGTGGTTGCAAAATTGCTAGAGAAAGGAACAAGAATGGCTATCAGCTTGATTTGACTTTAGATTTTGAGTCCATTATTTCCTCTTTGTAGTCCAATAAGCCCCTGCTCCACACAAACTGGCATCCCAGATTTTTAACTGGTGCTTTATTCACTAAGATTTCCCAGGGAAAAGCCTTCCCTAAACAGTTTGTTCCTACTCCGTTATTCTCTGCTGCTCGTTTATAGCCCAAATGGTCACTGCTGCTAAACCCAGGAATTTAGGTGTTAGCTACTACACACAAATGGAGAAAGATTTCTTTGGAACAATAGGGCTTGTTTTGGGGCTATTGTTCGCTATCTTTTCCACTTCTAATTAAGAGCTGTATTAAAATTCTTAACATCGTGTTGACCAAGAAGGCCTTCACATTTCCTTCACTTCACTAAACTTTAGAGGGGTTTCTTTCTGTCTCCATTCCGCAGATTTTCCTCTTACCCTGACTCTTACAGAATACAGATGACCTAGCTAACAAGGTCCCTCTTCTCCCTTTTCTTAGACCATTTACTTTAGGAAACTTGTAAATTCTTTGCCCCTTGAGGTGTGAATCTTTTTTTTGTTTGTTTGTTTTTTTTTAATTATTATTATACTTTAAGTTTTAGGGTACATGTGCACATCGTGCAGGTTAGTTACATATGTATACATGTGACATGCTGGTGCACTGCACCCACTAACTCGTCATCTAGCATTAGGTATATCTCCCAATGCTATCCCTCCCCCCTCCCCCCACCCCACAACAGTCCCCAGAGTGTGATGTTCCCCTTCCTGTGTCCATGTGTTCTCATTGTTCAATTCCCACCTATGAGTGAGAATATGCGGTGTTTGGTTTTTTGTTTTTGCAATAGTTTACTGAGAATGATGATTTCCAATTTCATCCATGTCCCTACAAAGGACATGAACTCATCATTTTTTATGGCTGCATAGTATTCCATGGTGTATATGTGCCACATTTGCTTAATCCAGTCTATCATTGTTGGACATTTGGCTTAGTTCCAAGTCTTTGCTATTGTGAATAGTGCCGCAATAAACATACGTGTGCATGTGTCTTTATAGCAGCATGATTTATAGTCCTTTGGGTATATACCCAGTAATGGGATGGCTGGGTCAAATGGTATTTCTAGTTCTAGATCCCTGAGGAATCGCCACACTGACTTCCACAATGGTTGAACTAGTTTACAGTCCCACCAACAGTGTAAAAGTGTTCCTATTTCTCCCTATCCTCTCCAGCACCTGTTGTTTCCTGACTTTTTAATGATTGCCATTCTAACTGGTGTGAGATGATATCTCATTGTGGTTTTGATTTGCATTTCTCTGATGGCCAGTGATGATGAGCATTTTTTCATGTGTTTTTTGGCTGCATAAATGTCTTCTTTTGAGAAGTGTCTGTTCATGTCCTTCGCTCACTTTTTGATGGGGTTGTTTGTTTTTTTCTTGTAAATTTGTTTGAGTTCATTGTAGATTCTGGATATTAGCCCTTTGTCAGATGAGTAGGTTGCGAAAATTTTCTCCCATTTTGTAGGTTGCCTGTTCACTCTGATGGTAGTTTCTTTTGCTGTGCAGAAGCTCTTTAGTTTAATTAGATCCCATTTGTCAACTTTGGCTTTTGTTGCCATTGCTTTTGGTGTTTTAGACATGAAGTCCTTGCCCATGCCTATGTCCTGAATGGTAATGCCTAGGTTTTCTTCTAGGGTTTTTATGGTTTTAGGTCTAACGTTTAAGTCTTTAATCCATCTTGAATTGATTTTTTTGTAAGGTGTAAGGAAGGGATCCAGTTTCAGCTTTCTACATATGGCTAGCCAGTTTTCCCAGCACCATTTATGCAATAGGGAATCCTTTCCCCATTGCTTGTTTTTCTCAGGTTTGTCAAAGATCAGACAGCTGTAGATATGCGGCATTATTTCTGAGGGCTCTGTTCTGTGCCATTGATCTATATCTCTGTTTTGGTACCAGTACCATGCTGTTTTGGTTACTGTAGCCTTGTAGTATAGTTTGAAGTCAGGGAGTGTGATGCCTCCAGCTTTGTTCTTTTGGCTTAGGATTGATGGGCAATGCGGGCTCTTTTATAAAAACCTCTTGCTAATTTTACAGCCCAGTAATGTCTTTTGCAAGGACATAAAAGCAATCCCTTTGAAAAGTAATTATCAAGGCAGATAGCGGCCCTATCTCCCAGTCTCTGTGGGAAGGTAAGAACATAATTTGGGTGAAAGTCTCTCTCCCAGTTGTAAAAGTACCTCCTGCCATGAAGATGGAAGAAAGTTCATTTTTCCTTTGGGCAAGGCCAATTAGCAAACACAAACTGTGATATGGTATACACAGCATAGAATTTATCCTGAAATCAAATCTTCTATCTGCATTCATGGGCCATATAATACAACCATGTTATTTAAACTTCCTTTTATGTCCATATTTCATTTTTAAAATGACACTAATACCCTACTTATATGATGGCTAATAACTTAGCTTATGTAAAATTATAAGCATAATTTGGCATGTGATAAGGGCTTAACAGATGTTATAACACTTCCTCTTTAGTTCTTGTTAAATTCATGAGCAGTTTAGAGAATCCTTGAGAAGGGCCTTCTACCACCACAGAGAATGCGATATACCAAGTATTAGAAAAAAAAAAAGCTCTTTATTAAGGGGGAAATAGGAAATACAAGAAAATAAACTCTACTGGTAGTGATTTATCAGTATTTAGGAAGATAGAATAATCACAAAGTAAATGCCACATGCTTAAATATTTTACCCAAGAACTCAGCTAGACCAAAGAAGAATAACCAGAGTCTCCAGCTGAATCTACAGTTTTATGAAAATACAATATTTATATTTATAATCCAAAAATAAAATATATGACTCACTGAAACAATAGTTTAAAATGTCTTATTAAATTATTTAGTAATATTTATTTGTGTTTTCCTTGGAAAAATATAGGTTAAGTTGAAAGCACTTTTCAAAATGCTTAAAAAATTTAAAAATACAAATGAGGAAAAATGAGATAAAATAATAGGAACAGCACAGTGGAAACATCATTTGGAAATATATAAATTAATAAATTGTTACAGAATTGTTGAGGGGAAGAAAAACAGGAAGAAGAGAATCATTTTTTTAAATTTTTGCTGTGTGCTAGACCACAGGCTAGATATTTGCATGTATTCATTTAATTCAAACTCACAACAAACTTATGGAGTAATTTCTAAAATTCCCATTTTATAGATGAGTAAACAGAGGCTCTTAGAGGTTATGTAAGTGTTCCTTGGCCATAAAACTGGTGCTGGAGAGACCCTACTGGCTTCTCTGTCTTCAGGTACATGGGGGATTATCATTCTCCACGTCTTTTGCAGTTAGGTAGGGTCATGTTATTATTTCCTTGTTGTGAACAGAAGTGACTGATGTGGGTCACTTTTTGATTTAAATGTATACGTGAAAAATTTCAATGTTCTCTTTCCTTGCTAAATTGGACAGAGGAGCCACCACATCGCAAAGAGCACAGCTATAAAACTAGAGCATGTGAACCTAGAGCAATGAGTTTCTGCATAGAGGGTAATTGCTCCAGGAAGTTACTCCATCTCATAGTGGACTTTGTGTGAACAGGCAATACACTTTTGAGGCATTCAGTGTGATCGAAGGCCAGGCCATTCTGATGGCAAACTTTTAATTCTTTTTCTATCTTTTTTTTCCTTCAAAAGCCACAGCCCCAGTCCTTAATTTATACGGAGATTGTGCACCTGAATCCCATGAATTCTATTCTTGGGGGTGTTTCGGCAAAATCATCCAGATTTTGTTTGGTCTCTTAGGATTTTTACCATAATTTAATTCAGAGAGAAAAATAATATTATGTTCCTACAGGTGAGGGACTTGGCACGTACCTGATTTATTTTGTAAAAATCTATTCAAGGAACACATATGCATTTTCAAACCATTTGGACTCTTGATGTTTGCCTAAGTAAAATTATTGTTAGTTCAAGAGCATCTAAATCCTTTGATCTGTCAATCAGGGTGGTTAATAGTGAAAGGTATGTTGTAGCCCTGAGTATTTCCACATCTAACTAAGAACAGCTTATAAGAGTGATTTTGAAAAAAAAAACTGATTCTAAACAGCAAAGCTATAATAAATAATTCAGTCTTTAAATACAGACCAGATCCCTTAAAGGCAAAGAATGAATATACTCAGCATATTAATGATTTTCAGGTTTTATGAGATGCTTAGCAATTTCAGATGAAATTGTAAATGCTTTTATTTGAGAACTTTGAACATTACATCTTTAAGTATATTAAATGAAAGACAAGGCATGAATACGGATGTTGATCTTTGAGCCCAAATATTTCCATATTTTAATAATGCCTCCAGGGCTCTAGAAATACCCAGGGCTTTAAAAACTTGAATCAAATTTTTTTTTTTTTTTTTGTGAGATGGGAGTCTCCCAGGCTGGAGTGTAGTGGCTCAATCTTGGCTCACTGCAAGCTCTGCCTCCTGGGTTCACGCCATTCTCCTGCCTCAGCCTCCCGAGTACCTGAGACTATAGGCGCCCGCCACCAAGCCCGGCTAATTTTTTGTATTTTTTTAGTACAGACAGGGTTTCACTGTGTTAGCCAGGATGGTCTCGATCTCCTGACCTCGTGATCTGCCCGCGTCGGCCTCCCAAAGTGCTAGGATTACAGGCGTGAGCCACCGCACCCAGCCAAAAACCTGAATCAAATTTCTGTTATGGTTTTCTGTTTGAACTTGTAAAAGTCACATATTATCTTAGAATTTAAATCCCTGATTTATTAAATGTGACTGCTGTGCAACAAAATATAGTAATTTTGGAAAATAATACAGGATAAAAACCATACTGAATGCTTTATATGCACTACTATGGATAAGTAAATTAAAAATTATTTTTATTTTTATTTTTGGAGATGGAATCTTGCTCTGTAGCCCAGGCTGGAGTGCCGTGGCCACAGTCTCGGCTCACTGCAACCTCCACCTCCTGGGTTCAAGTGATTCTCCTGTCTCAGCCTCCCAAGTAGCTGGGACTACAGGTGCACGCCACCATACCCGGCTAATGTTTTTGTATTTTTAGTAAAGACAGGGTTTCACCATGTTGTCCAGGCTGGTTTTGATCCCTGAGCTCAGGCAATCCACCCACACTGGCCTCCCAAAGTGCTAGGATTACAGGCGTGAGCCACCTCACCTGACCTAAAAATTATTTCACATTGCTGTTTATAATATGGCTGACACTTGACTAATATTTATTCTTATTATATTTGCACTTCTTCAGCAAGGTAAAACATTTGAACTTATAACAATTAGGAATAGACCCACCTTCTCTGATTTTTGTCATTGAATTGTGTCCGTGTAGTGTTAGGAGATGCTCCTAGTACAACAACCTTAGGAAGAGGAGTCAGTGAGGATCAGCCACTGCGTTTGAGCCTGAATAATAGAATGAAAAGCGCTTTAAGAGAGTTAAGGCCTCATTAAGCCATGAGGCTACCTTGTTGGCTTAATATATCTTATGTGGATGGTGCCCTAAAACCCAATCCTCTTCGAGACCTTTGGCAGTACCTGGCCAATAGTCTTGCCACAGGGACAGTGTCGCTGAATCATGGTCCAGGCAAAGTCATTTCCAGTCTTTCATCAATCTTGTCTATCTTAAGGAGTAGAAGACCTGTATGATGAGATCATCTGTTGTGGGGTCTAGGAACAGAAAATGAGGAGAAAAAGCCACTGTCCTCCCTCTCCTCACTCTATAGCATTGCATGTGCTCAATTACATAGTTTACATGAGTATGTGATTTCCTGTTTCTTTTTCTAACTAAAAGATAATCCAACATGTGCAGGTAGGCAAGAGCTAAGAATTAAATCAGCAGGTTTAGGTCAAAGTGGCTAACATTCTGTATAGAGGAAGCTGACAGGTCAAATTCAAGCTTGAACTGATACGTACAAAGCCAGAAGTGGAGAGACAAGATACAACCAAAGGTACATAAAGGTAGAAATTAGAGAATTTCATATTCATGGGTCAGTTCAAACTCCACCTCTTCCATGAATTTTCTGCAATAGCTCTTTCAGGAGAAACTGCTTTTTACATAATCCTTTTTTATCTTGTTTGCTGATCATAAGTGAAAGATACATGCAGACTTGGACAAATAGAGATAAAAAGAGGGTGTGTCAGAGTGTTCATAGGACAAATAATGGTGTGTTTTGATGGCTCATTTCTAATATCAGGTGCTTGATAAGTGGATGAATCATCCTGGCTTAAAGATATAAGTCTGATGTGGGCATTACCTTTGTATGGTAGTTTGCTCCTGATGACAAATGCAGGCTGGTCTGTGATAATGCTTTTGGCTGTATGGTGAGTGAGTGAACCAATGAACCATTGAGCCAGATAATGAATCAGTGTTGGGCCTGATTACATTTTAAATGCATGTTAACCATTTAGCGCAAATTGGAAATACTATAAAGAGTCTAAAATGATTTACAAGTTTGATTTAAATAAACTGAAATCTTTAAAATCTAAGCAAAAGGAGATAGCTTGTAGAAAGCACAGGCCAACTGACACTGAGTTGGTATCTAATAAATGTTTTCCTACTATTACTTTGTGGCTATATCTGAGCTTCTGCCAACTAATAATAGTTATGTATAAAATGTCATTGACTAGATTTTGTTTACAAATGATCTAAATCTATGGGCCTGAAACATCATAAAATTTTATCTACCTAAATTTTAATACACTATATTATAAAGAATCTGGAGTTTTACTTAACCCACATTTTTAAGCAACAAATGTGATATTCAGTTTACTCTAATTCAACTAATTAATCTGTTGATAAGACAAATCTGAGTCTTTTATCACTAGAGAAAGAGATCATCACCTCTGCATAACTTTGACAATTTCCTCAAGGTTGGATGGAAAGGTAGAAATTTATTGAGAATTGGAAGTTTGGTTTAAGGCAAGTCTTTCAATATAAACACTTGATTGGGATTGGAAAGGACCATAATAGCTTCCCTTGGTGGAAACAAGAGCAAGATTTCAAGGCAGAAGATTTTTGCCTCAAAAACAATTTTAGGGCACAAACTGTTAATGTTTTCTATTGAAGAATTTATACAGTTTTCAGCATGTTCCTATAATGAAGAATCAAGCCATTTGCCTGGGCACGAGGCTTTCAGGAAAATAAAGTCATGTTAATAATGACAGTGTAATAGCAAAGTCAGGTTGATTTAGGCAGTAACGTTTTAATTATTGGTGTCCAGGCTGAGTATAGACTAATGGTTTCATTTCCCAGTATGGTTCCTATTTGTGTGGCCCTATGCAAGAAATACAACTGTGAATAGAATAACATATATCCTTCAGGATCTCAAAGATTCATGATGACTCAAAAATAAAACACTAATTTACTAATACTTATACCACGATGATATTGTAAATGTGGAACAAAATGTCAATTAAGTTCAGAGGAAAAAAACTAAAATCTGTTAGGCGAAGTAGCAGTAAAAGTTGCTCTGAAGAGCTAATATCTCAGTTGAACTTCGAAGGACAGGTGGAAGTAACTGAGTAAGTGCAGGGGAACTCCGTGGTAATATTTCAAGGAGGAACAATAGCAAGTGTAAACATAACTAGGTGTGAAAGAGCACAGGTTGCTCAGAGCAGTTTGGCTTGGCTGAAAGTGCATTAGTGAATTACCATTTTATTTTTGAGTCTTCATGAATCTGTGAGATCCTGAAGGATATATGTTATTCTATTCACAGGGGTATTTCTCACATAGGGCCATAGAAATAGAGGAGAGGGTGGACCATTGAAATTCTATGAACATTATAATCGTATTTTGGCTTTATGTGTAGGTAAAGGGGAATAATTTTAAGGGAAAATGATTAATACTAGTAACTGTTGAAAATAATAACTGGTTTCTACTTTTTAGTCCTAGAAGCAGAACATTTGGAATTAAAAAGACTTGGTTTCCCTCTAGGATATGTGAACCCTAATTGGACTTTTCTTATGCTTTTCATAGTTCTGTTATAGTGCTGAGTGAGAAAGTAAAGCCAGTGATACCACAATTACACTTGAACAAGATGGATTTGTCAAGTCTCTAGAGTCCATTAAGAAAAAAAGAGAACAACAGACGATCACCCAAACTATGTCAAATTAATAAAGTCCTTAAGAGATATTTTACTTATCTCAGAGTACTTCAAGATTAAGCTCAAAGAAAGATAAGTAATAATAGACAGAAAAAAATATTAAAAATATAATTCTACATATAAAATGATGAAAAACTATAGCCACAAGCTGATTGGATTGCCTCAACACATATTTATTAAATCAAGTATTAACTCATGCAACAATGTTTATTAGGTACTTTCTATGTTTCAAGCATTATTTTAGATGTTGAAGAAGCAAATCTAAATAAGTCCTAGTTGTTGCCTTGGAAGAATAAATAGCTAATTATAAAATGTCTTCAAGCATACATAGACACACACACACACACACACATATAAATATATACACATATACACACACAAACATATATAGACACAAGTGTATAGATATCTATTATCTATCTTCTATGTTTTGCAATGTGTATTATACCTAATAAACATGTAGAGATAGAAAGTGTGGCTATTAAAGGAAGGAAGAAAGTTAATGCAGTCACTAGATATATGAGGAGGTTCTGAACATAAGACTTTTTCTTTTAAAGATGTAAGAATCTGAGTATGCTTAAATCTGATAGTTTTGGAGAATAATTGGATCTAGAAAAGATGAAAGTGAGAGTAGATAATGGATTGAAATTTTGTGAGCTGGTTGTGTCAGAAAACAATAAAAGAAAGTAAAGATATTGACAAGAAATTAGTTGAAGTGCAGAGTGAATTCTCAAGTGGAAAAAATGAAGTAAAAATTAAATAGGCTTGCCATAGAAAAATAGGGTAATAAAGAAATTTCAAGTTATGATAATAATGGAATATCTGGCCAGGTGCAGTGGCTCATGCTTGTAATCCCAGCACTTTGGGATGCTGAGGTGGGTGGATCACCTGAGATCAGGAGTTCAAGACAAGCCTGGCCAACATGGCAAAACCCCATCTCTACTAAAAATACCAAAAAAAAAAAAAAAAAATTAGCCAGGCATGGTGGCAGGCACCTGTAATCCCAGCTACTCAGGAGGCTGAGGCAGGAGAATTGCTTGAACCTGGGAGGCAGAGGTTGCAGTGAGCTGAGATCATGCCACTGCACTCCAGCCTGGGTGACAAGAGTGAAACTTCATCTCAATAATAATTCTAATAGAATACCAAGTGAAAGATGTTCAGTTTTTGACATCTTAACCTGGCTATATGTGTTGCAGGAAGTCAGGGACCCCGAACGGAGGGACTGGCTGGAGCCATGGCAGAGGAACATAAATTGTGAAGATTTCATGGACATTTATTACTTCCCTAATAATACTCTTATAATTTCTTATGCCTGTCTTTACTTCAATCTCTGAACATAAATTGTGAAGATTTCATGGACATTTATCAGTTTCCAAATAACACTGTTATAATTTCTTACGCCTGTCTTACTTTAATCTCTTAATCCTATTATCTTCGTAAGCTGAGGATGTACGTCACCTCAGGACCACTATTGTACAAATTGATTGTAAAACGTGTGTTTGAACAATATGAACTCAGTGCACCTTGAAAAAGAACAGAATAACAGCAATTTTAGGGAACAAGGGGAGACAATCTTAAGGTCTGACTGACTGCCTGTGGGGTCAGGCAGAATAGAGCCATATTTTTCTTCTTGCAGAGAGCCTATAAATGGACGTGCAAGTAGGAGAGATATCGCTAAATTCTTCTCCTAGCAAGGAATATTAAATATTAAGACCCTAGGAGAAGAATTGCATTCCTTGGGGGAGGTCTATAAATGGCCGCTCTGGGAGTGTCTGTCTTATGAGGTTGAGATAAGGACTGAAATATGCCCTGGTCTCCTGCAGTACCCTCAGGCTTATTAGGGTGGGGAAAAAATCCCGCCCTGGTGAATTTGAGGTCAGACCGGCTCTCTGCTCTCGAACACTGTTTTCTGTTGTTTAAGATGTTTATCAAGACAACATGTGCACAGCCAAACATAGACTCTCATCAATAATTCTAATTTTGCCCTTTGCCTTGTGATCTGTGCTTTGCCCTTTGCCTTGTGATGTTTATTGGCCTCAGAAGCATGTGATCTTTGTGACCTACTCCCTGTTCATACACCCCCTCTCCTTTTGAAATCCCTAATAAAAACTTGCTGGTTTTGCGGCTCAGGGGGCATCACGGACCTACCAATATGTGATGTCACCCCCAGCGGCCCAGCTGTAAAATTCCTCTCTTTGTACTCTTTTTCTTTATTTCTCAGACTGGCCAACACTTAGGGAAAATAGAAAGAACCTATGTTGAAATATTGGGGGTGGGTTTCCCCGATAAACATGCTACCAAGTTGGCTTCAAGTAGGTCTAAGTTTCAATGTCTGGGAAGATATGATGGTAGGACTTGCAATAGGAAGAGAATTGTGAGACAGGTCACAAAGTTTTCCAAATGTAAGAAATGGTGTTCAAGTTAACAGTCGATGACACAAATGAGAACCACAAAGATTGTCTATATATATAGAAAGGTACTCATATATATGAATTTTTCTTTTCTTTCTCTAGTTTTTCACATATAGAAGTAGCAACAGACCCTTAAGTATATCTGGGTACTTGCCGATACTCCTTCAAGCCCATGAGTTGTAGGAGAATGAACAGCATATACTCAAGAGAAATGTAGTGGAAGTATTATCCTTTAGGGGACCTTGTGTTTTAAGGAGTCCAGGAGGTGTGAAAGTACACGAAGACTCCAGAAATTCTGGAAGTCAGAGATGGAAGAGCAATAATCAAGAGGTTAGGTTAAGTAAAAGGAAGTGCAATTTAGGTCTTTGAAAATATCATTGTCTAGAGTTACTAATATGTTAAGCAGAAGCATAAAAGGGCTGCAAGGCATCTCTTGTTGGAACACAGATTTTTCCAAACAATTAATCCCACTAGTTGCCTGCAGAAGGAAAGTAGGTAAGTGTTAGTGCTTAGCTCTCTCAAAATGGGTCAGCTAGAGATTATATTGACTCTGCTTCTGTAGATGACTAGTTCAGGTGAGCAAATTGAGAATGGGACAATTCAATTCCTAGAACTGTGACTTGTAATTGAAAATAACACCAGGTTCTAGAATATAAGAAGATAGCACTTCTTTGGAAAGAGCCAACAGGGCTCCAGAGAGAGGGTGGAAGTGGAACTGGCTTTAGAATGGACTATAATTTTTTTTGGATTTTTTTTCAATTGTCAGTGGAATATTTAAATAGAAAAAAGCTCTGCAGAAGTTAAAAATGTCAGATGCAACATTTTGTTAAAGTCATGTCTAACTTAAGAGAAACATTTGCAAACCACTTTCTTTTGTAAATAATTGGGATTATGACATTGAAAAGGAACAGATTATGACATTGAAAAGAGAGTGAAAGGAAGAGTATAAGAAAATGAAGAGAGGAAAAGGGATGTGATTCCCTGTAGTGAAGTGTCTGAAGAAAACAGAGTAAAAGTTTACAAAGTAGAAAAAATTGTAGAGATAATTCAAAAGTAGAGATAATTTCAAAAAGCAGATTATCAGCACTGAGAAATATAAGGGCAGTCATATGCTATGAAAAAAAATACCTTGACAGGTATGATATTTTATAAAATATTTTTTATAAAACAAGAGCAAGTATAAGTTTTCCTTCAGGCTTTATATACCCATGGGCTTCCTGTGATGAGATGATGTTACCAATAACGATTAAAACTCCACAGGTAGGTAACAATGAAGAGATTAGTAGGCTTTTCCGTACTGGGTGAATATAAAAACAGTCCTGTTGTTTGTGGACTTTGTAGCTGCTCAAGCAGTATCTTGTATTAGAGCTTCACAGCCTGTTTCATTCTTCCTTTCATTCACTCAGCAAATATTTATTGAACTGCTTGTGTGCACAAGCTATAGACTGATCACCATTCTTTAGAAAATACTATCACATGTTTTTGGAGGGCTGTGGAGGTGGGTTTTTTTTTTTTTAATTTTGCTTACGACTATGTACAGGATTGGGAAATGTTGTGTATCCAAGGTGTATTATATATTTTTCAAATTTCAGTATTCTTATTTTATAAACCTTCCTTTATCTGTTTGCCAGTGTGCATCATGACACCATAAGACTATCTTCATGTTGCTTGCATTGGGCCATGTGGGTTTGCATATCTGATGGGGCACAATCATCAGCAAATAATAGCTTATGTGTGATTATCTCAAGGACTCATGATTATTAGCAGAACTGTTGATTTAAAATATGGGCTGGAAAGTGGAAACAGAAAATGCTTCTGAGTTTTTGGGTCTTTAAAACATTGAAATAGAATGCAAAGCATGTGTCAAAGAATTCAAATCCCCCTGTCATGATGGGTTGCATAAATTAGCATTTCCCAGAATATATTCTACAGAATGCTTAGAAGCTGGATACTCATTTATTAAAGGTTTTCTGGTCAACCAAGTTTAGAAAATGTTGGATTAAACTTCTCTGCTTCAAGACTTTCAATATCTTTAATTTGACAGTTTAAAAATTTGCATTATGATCTTCAGTCAAAGGGCAGAAATAGCCAAAGTTATCCGACCTGGAAATCCCAAACAGATACTTAAGTGGTATTAGTGTTTCATGGAATACATTGTGTGAAACATTGCTTTTGTCAAAATTGATGCATTTTAAAGTTCTTCCTGTAGGCTTTTAAAGGAATTGTTTACCCAGTTAAAAAATTTATGATAATGTAACTCAATTGGGAATGTTTAATTTGTGTCTCAGTTTGAGTAAATAGCACACATAAGTAGACATTTCTAACAAAAATAGACAGGTAAAAGTCAGTGGAAAATATGATTCCAATAGTAAATGATATACATTTAAACTTGCTAAAAATACAACTCCTTTCGACTCAGTAAAAGAGAGTGAGCAAAGAAGCCTAATGGCTAAGGCATATGCTAAGGAGACAATACACCTGAGAGTGCATCATTACTTTGACATGCACTAACTGTAAACTTGGGTAAGTTTCAAAATATTTCTGTTTCTCAGTTTTCTCATCTGGAAACCAGGAATTATGATGATAGCCAACCTCACAAGGTGAGTTAGTAAAATATGAAACTCATAGAATGTCTGGTAATAAAATTGCATAATAAATGTTGAGGATTTTATTACATGTAAAAGCATTATATTTAGCTCTATAAATACGGAACCCTGGCAATACAAATTCAACAGTTGAATTCAGAAAGGCTGTATGTTAAATAAACTAGTTTTTACAATTGGATATTTCTTCTAATATACCAAAACTGAAGATTTTGATGTATTGTGTCATCAAAATCATTTATCTAGAGATGTATTATGTATGCTGCAAATAAATTAGAACCCAGATGAATCTTATTTCTTAATAGAAATGGATAAATTACTTTAGGCAAATTTGTTAGTTGTTTGAGCTCAATTTCCAAACTAAGAATATTATTTTCATGTTAAATTGAAAAAAAGTGATTTTTTTCTACAACTTACTTCACAGGCCCAAACATAAGAAGAAAACTGAGGTACAAAGAGGTTATGATAACTTGCCCAAAGTCATATAACTAATAATTCACAGGACTGAAATTTGAACCTGGCTTTGTATGATTTCAGAGCTAAATTACAGTACTTCCTATGATACCAAGAGATTTTTAAGCATGCAATTCAAGAGACATGTTAGGTAAATAAAACTTTTAGTTGTATAAGCAGAGTCACTAGGAAAAGAATATCTTTTTCTGGGGACCATATAGTGGAATTTCAGTAACTTGATCTTTGGACAACTTTTTTTTTTTTTGGATATTCTTGCACATTTATCAACTTGCAACACAAGAGCATAAAGTTTTAGATCATTTAAATAACAGATGAGATCAAAAAAATACAGTGGTTGAAAAATATAGAGGCTAATTTAAGTCTCCAGGTGCTACTTTGGAAAATTTAGGAGTTAATATCCCCCGGGAAAATTTCATCCAGCTGCTTTTGATTAGGGAATACAGCTGTAATCTTGAAAATCTTCTAAAAAGCATTCATGCCTCCTGAGTTGTGAATAATTAGTCAATTGGTTTTTTTATGACTAGTGTCCAGTAACTAGCTATGGAGAACAAAACAAGGACAAAGAACATAGATGTACTAGACAGAAAGATGTCCTTTTCCTCTGTCAAATACATGTCCTTAAATACGTGTCTGGTTGTACCGATCTTACACATAATTACAAAACATTTCAATAAGCTACATTTTATTGATATGACTTCTGAACACTTTAAATATTTTATGCAAAGTTCAGAACAGCCAGAAAGGTATATTTCCATGCACATATAAGAGAGTGATGGACCGACTACTCAGGTTAAGAAATAAAGCAGAAATACTTTTGTTTCTATCCATTTCTTCCAGAACAATTGTTAGTTCTCCTGCAAGGTGAACCTTATTTCAGTACTAATTATTTGCCAGTGTAGCCTTTTTTTAGTTTTTTTTTTTGTTGTTGTTGTTGTTTTTTTTTTTTTTTTTGAGATGAGTTTAGCTAGATTTACTTTTTGTTTAAAATAACTTATTTCGACCAGGCATGGTGATTCACACCTATAATCCCAGCACTTGGGAGGTCGAGGCTGGCAGATCACTTGAGGTCAATAGTTCGAGACCAGCCTGGCCAACATAGCCAAACCTGTAATCCCAGATACTCAAGAGGCTGAGGCAGGGGAATCGCTTGAACCTGGGAGACGGAGGTTGCAGCGAACTGAGACCACTCCATTGCACTCCAGCCTGGGCGACAAGAACAAAACTCCGTCTCAAAAAAGAAAAAACAAACAAAAAAAACCCAATTATTTCTTGTTAGCTAAAATCCAATGCAAATATGGTCAATAATTTAGGTGTTGGAAAGATATCTTAATTTTCCCAATCTTCGCATTTATGTGCCTAATAACTATTCAAAACTTTTACATTGAGCTCACCCTTTTGATCCTCTATGGCACGTACCACACATCCACCTTCAAATGATGATTCCTATTCAATAGGTAATAATTAACATACACTTTAAAGGGAAGTCAGTATTCAGAGAAAGTTAATCATAATTAAGAGTATTAAAAAGGGATGGCAAGCATATTTTGTTACAAAATATCATTACTTCCTATTTTAACTGCTTTCACTTTATCACTTCTGTCACCTTTTTGTTTTAACTCGTTAAAACAATATCAGTTGGTGACAGAATATTAAAATTAACTATGTGCATGTATGTTTGCAGAACATTCTACTTTTAGCAATTTATTTAAAAGAAATAGCACACACATATATAAGATGTTACGTATTAAGATTATCAACAAAGAATTGTTTTTTGTTTTGTTTTGTTTTGAGACAGTGTCTGGCTCTGTTGCCCAAGCTAGAGTGCAGTGGCATGATCTCTGCTTATCGCAACCACAACATTTGCCTCCTGGGCTCAAGCAATCCTCCCACCTCAGCCTCCCAAGTAACTGGGACTACGGGTGTCCACCACTGTGTTCGGCTAATTTTTATACTTTTTGAAGAGACAAGGTTTGCTTAGTCTGGTCTTGAACTCCTGAGTTCAAGCAATCTGCCCACTTCGGCCTCCCAAAGTGGTGGGATTACAGGTGTGGACCACCACTCCAAGCTGAAAAATAGTTTGTGACAATAAAAAGTTGAAAATTATCTGAATGTCCATTTATGGGTTTTAATTTAAAATATTATGGTCATCTATAAAAAAAGTATTTTAAAGCCATTAAAAAGGTAACTAAATCAATGGACATGGGAAGATGATTAAAAATACTATTAAGTGAGCACAAGGAAAAGCATAGCATGTAACACATATAAATATATGTGTGCTGTATACATATACATAATATACTCGTATTCCAAAACTATATAAATTTTAATTCCACGTATGTTTAATAAAGCATAATAATTTATGGCTATCTCTATGAAAGCATAATTTATGGTTATCTCTATAATTTACGGTTATCTCTATGCTTATCTCTATGAAAAGGTGAGGGTTCAGGGATTCTCAATTTTGAATCTATTTCTGCACTCGATTTTTAAAGAAAAAACTGAGTTATATTGCTTCACTGCACTACAGTCTGGTGACAGAGTGAGACCTGTCACAAAAATGTACATATATTATTTGTGTAATCAAATTAAAAAGAAAAATATGTAGACAATATATTTTAAATTAAATTATTAAAATTTAAATTAATGTAGCAAATACATTTTAAAATTGAAGTATATTTCAAAGGATATATTTAAAATATATGCTTTTAGTTATAGTTATTTTTAAACAAGTATATTTAGGGATTTCTGATTATGTGTATAAAATATACAGTTTAAATTTCCTTTATATAATACCAATCCATTGAGATATATTGACACATATTGGACAAAAATATTTTTTCCTCTTAAGAAAGAATTCTCATTTAAAACAAGAAAAAAAGTTATGTGTATGTACGTATGTATATATACACACATATATTCAAATCCATAATGCATATATATATATATACACATATCTGTGTGTGCATATATATACGAAAACCTCAGAATTTATTTCTGAATTACATGGGCACATATGTCTACTTTCTCCTAATCTTGCCATTTAGATGGCTCAGCTTCCCTTTTAGGGCAGAAGTATATACTTAGCCAATTAAAACAATGATAATTCTGTGTAGGCCTGTTGCTTGCATTCGGTACATTCCACAGGCCATCCAATAGCAATTTATGAGAATGTGTACTCTGATTACTCTTCTGATTCCAAAAATCACTACTCAAATATTTCTAGGCATTAAAAGTATTTTTGAATTATTTAATATTTTTATTGTTGATATGTTTTGGAAAGCTGCATCAACAACTAAGCCCAAATCCAAATTCTTTATTTGAGGGAAAAATAAATACTCTCCGTGTTGAAGTATCGCTCTGCTCTGCTAACAACCACAGCCAGGCCTGAGGATTTCAGCAACTCAAATAAATTAATTAGTAGAACCAGCAATTAATTTGCAGCCCATTTATCAGAAATGCTTAATGACTCTGACATAAGCCCATATATCATTTCACAACCTGCTGTATCACCTCTGCTCCTTGCAGCTGTTCCTTGTTCTGCAGAACACCAGCATGACCCCAAAATACTTGCCAGAATTGGTGTCCCTGGGTCTTCCACACCTCTGGGGCAGGAGCCCGGCTGAGATCTGGGCCAGCAGATGTGGCTGTAATACCAGACTTGTTCTCCTCTACCCAGTCATTTTGGCCTGTTTACATGACAGTAGCAGATGGCTCCCTATTCTCAGATGTTTTGCAAATCACAAAAAAAGAAAGAAAAAGTTTTATTGCTGTCATTCCATTTTTCATGTTGAAGGAATGTGATATTTAGAATGAGAGAGAGGTTCAGGGAAAGCCAAGTGTACTTCAGTGAAAAGTTGTAAAACATTAATCCTTACGTTTATTAAGTGAAAAGAGAGTGGGTACTAGGTATTCTTCACATGTCCTTCATTTGATCTGTATTTATAACTTATTGAATCCTGGTTATCTTTACATACAGACAGTTGAAAGAACATGAAAGCATTCTGTCTCCTTTGTAAATGTTGCTTCATATTTAAATCATTCATTTCCTTTGAAAAAAATTGGAAAAGGAAAAACTAAGAAGCAGACCCAAACTAAAGCTCTTTTACTAATGAGTAAAAATATCACCCTTCTTTACTTTTTCATTTTTACTACAACAATTTCCCTTCTTCACTTCCACTGGCTTCAGCACAAACGTGGATTTCAGCTGTAAATTCCCAATTTGTAATTTCCATATTTAAAATCAGCACTTGCTTTCATTTTATGTTACCACCTTAAGGTTTTTGAGCAGCTATAAATTTCAGGTCAAAAGAATAACACAGTTGATAGTAGCTGATGATAATTAAAGTGATCTTTAACATAGTTGCTTGGAAGTAAAAGTTATGTGTTGTGGGTCAAGAAGTTGTTTTTGTTTTTGGCTTTAACAGGTTTACCTGACCCGAGAAAAATAGGCCAAATTTATCTATTATATTTGCAAAAAACAAGACCACGAAGGCAACATATAAACAAAGACTAAGAATCCAGATAATCTAGAAGGAATGATTCTGTGTGTGTGTGTGTGTATGTGTGTGTGTGTGTGTGTGTATGTGTATGTGTGTGTGTGTGTGTGTGTGTGTGTCTGTGAGAGAGAGAGAGAGAGACAGATTTATTCTTACTGGTAGGCTTCCAGGCAACTAATAGGTCAAATAGGGGAAAGCGTCCACGTGTTTTGGCAATGGTAATCGAAAAATGAGATGACAGTGTCATGGAAATTAATAAAATAATTTGGGAAAAACCTGGATTGAGGTTTATAGAGGATGGTATAAATGAATCACATGTGAGTCTATACCAACCAACCAAACCAAAAAAAAATTAATAGTCAGATCATCATTTCTTCCAGAGACTGCATTTTGGGTGGGAACCCTTACTACTGGATTCCCAATAGCCATCACAGTCTGATAATATTGTCCTTGAAATAAATTTACGTTGTTTTCCATATAGGTCAAATGCCCATGTGTTACCTGTTATAAATGGAGAGCAGAAATGAAAACTAGAGGATACTCACAAACTTCCTTAAGTTTCAGAAGAACATTATAAACTTTATGCTCAGGATTAGATATTGGATAATTTAATATTGTATTATGCACAATAATTCACATCCATTTGTATATAAGCACTGCCAAATTAAAAGAAAATCCAGAGTGACGGTAGGAGAGACTCAAACATATATTTGCAATAGGAGAGAAGAAGACTACTGCAATAGATTGGGGGAATGACTTCATTAAATGGAATACTCTGACCATGAGAACTGGAAGGATCTGAAAGGTTTGTCAGAAAGGGGCTTTCCATTTACAGGGAATAGTAAACAAGGCTCAGTGGATGCCAGAGGGTGGGATGAAAGAGTTGTTTGATAGGATAGTAGATGACAGACTCTTTTATGCTAAGATCAGCTATTCTCAAAAAGGTCCTAAAGGATGGGTTGTAGGCTGCCTCTGGCTGAAGGTGGATTCAAGTTCAGGGTCTTGCAGAAGGAGAGAAGCCTAGCTAAAATTTGATCAAGCCAAAATAGCAGGTATTTTGTCCAGATTGGTCCATGGATGCAAGCAGTTCAGCTAATATTTATGAATGAAAGGAAATTTGGAGGGCCTGCGTCTGGCCTTGTCATAGGTAAACAATGGGGCATCCATGAATCTTATATATATAGTTCATACGGGGAATGATAGTGCCTTGCAGTAGTAGGCCTATCTGAAAACACAAAATGATGAGAGGGTTTCTTAATTTTTATTGTTTTCCAGGAGCACCTAACTAATGTAAAATTTACCATTGTTAGCATCATATGGCTAGGAATATTGTCTATTCTAGTCACTATTGTAGATCCAGTGCCCAGGACAGAGTCCAAATAATAGTTGGTCTTCAATACTTTTTTTTGAGCGGAGAATAAATAAACTAGATTAAAGTAAACATAATACTGAAATAGAGAAAAATTATCCATGTGATCAAGCAATTTTAGACAACATTAGACATTCAAGGATAATATGTGTGATTTGAGGAGTGTAGGTTGGGACACAGGACCTGAAAAGTAAAAACTGATGTACTTGAAGGAAAAGAGAATTGCTTCCTACACTATTTTCCTAAGTTGAGAAACAGGCAACCTTCTTTTAAAGTGTATTTAGTAATATAACTAAATCTGTCAAGTAGAAGAACCACATTTCAAAATGGTCACCAGCATCACCTCCAATTGTAAAGGAGCTGGGAATGTGAGTTGTCTCAAATCATGAGATATTATATTTTCTGTTTAAGAACTGTATTTTATTTTTGCCCATCATGGGAGAAAATCAATAATGATGTTTGATAACATGTAGGACTTTTTACACTTCAAAATATTTGCATACACATTATCGTTTGATCTTCACCACAACCATATAAGGTAGAAAAGGAAAGGTTGCTAATAAATGCCCTCACAAATTTTAGAAATGGAACATAGAAGAAGTAATGTTCACATGGTCTTGTAAGTATGTTAGGAAGAAACTAGATTATTCCCTAGGTCAGTTTTTCAACATTTTAAACTCAACCCAGTTAAACAAACAGTCTTTTTAAATATTTTCTCAATCACCTCCCCTATGAAATTTGAGTACTACAGATAAAGTGTGTATCTTTTTATATACTGTATGTGTATTTGTGCTTTACCCATCAAAATAGTAAGATGCTTTTACTCTTAATAACCATTTTTTACTCACTTGAGGATCCTATTACTGTATAGAATGCATGGCCTAAGTGGAAAATCACCAGCATTCCATCTGATCTCACTTAGCATAAGTGTCTGCATTGACATTTACAGGACATATGCTTGTCTATTTAATCTGTACAACAAAATCTACTCCCATTTTATAGATGAGAAGATCAAAGCCTTCAAAGATTAAATAACTCATGAAATGACACTTATCTAGTTTATTCTAGAGAAAAGGTGTAAGCCAAATGCCCAGCCTGTGTTCTTTCATGTTTTATAATATCAACATATTATAAAAGACATTTCAGTGTTTTATACCCTATTATAAGTAGACATTTTTATAGCAAGTGAGTATAATACACTTTCCCTGTATCCTAAGGGAAATCTCTGATAAAAGAGAAAAATCTCTGAACAAAGTTAATAAGCTTATGTCCTAAACACACTGAGGGCAGGCATATATGTTTTATCTGTTTCCTAGCACTGCACACAGAACCTGACATTACAGTTGCTGATCAGAAAACATTTGTTGACTCTGTGATGAGTGATAGAAAATAGATGATGTTTGCTTCTTCCACATAAAACATGGAAAAAAGATAGTGTTTTTCTTTTCTCATTAATTAAAAAATATTGGATTCCTATTGAAGGAGAATAAAGTATCAAAACATGGACAAAATCCTGAATATCTGTGAGTGTATATTAAACTGATAATACAGATAACTCTCTCAATATTGTTGTGTTGCCAGAAATGCCAATTACTCCTCTCTCCACCTGGTCTTAAAGGTTATCCTTTACAGATAAAATTCAGGGAACTTAATGAGGATCATGGTGTAAACTTTGTCACTGAGGGTTTAATGTCCTCATACACGTAAAGACTTCCTTTTAAATCTGAATTAGAGAATACAGCTGCGATCAGATGCAACTGGAGACGTTCTCTTTAACCATACCATTTTTTTTTCTTTTTGACCCACCTGTTAGAAGAGAGAATTCCACAAAACCAATTCCACGAGCCATAAGTCAGCCAACCTCACAAATTTCATTACTGGAAAACAATAGAAAAATAGGCCTTAAATCTGCTGTGCAACTACCAATATGGGAAGAGGAGAGTGAGCCTTTTGTTCTTCTGTATAATCAAGATACTGGTCCCAAGAGAAAGAGAAAGATATTTTTTATGCTTCTAGGAACAGTAGACATAACCATAGTTACATTGTTTGTTCAAGTTGTCATGTTCCTACCAGATTACTTTTCTTTTCCTTGAAAAGCTCGAATAGAGGAGGAGAAAGAATTTTCTCAACACTACCCCCACTTGGGGAGTGGAACAGAAGGTTTGCACCAAACAGAAAAAGGAAGATGGGGAAGTAAGATTTTTCCACCTCAAATCCTTCAGTGAATCAGGTACTTTGAGGTGTTATTCAATGTAAGTTAGTCATAGCAATTTGAATTGCAAAGGACAGAAAAAATTGATAGAACTTATTTTGGCAAGAAGGATAATTCATTGAAAGAATATTAAAGTATCACACGCAATTGAAGAAATGATTGAAAACTAAATAGTAAGAAGAGGAGGAACAAATTGATTAGGATGCCCTCAGAACTTTTCTATTTCTCTGGAGGGCACACCTCATGCATGCATGCTTCTGTCTCACTGCAGACTACTTGGCAGAATCCACAGTCATCATTGATGGAGCCTGAGTCTCAGATTTAAATGAAATACTTTTTCTCCTGCAATGCTATTAGAAAACAAATCTTGTGGAATAATTCTCCTTGGCCCAGCTTTGCTCAACTGTTCAGAGCAATTCATTGGGTAAGGAGAGAAGATCATGTAAACTAACTAGACTGAAGCTATCTGTATTAGTCCATTTTCACATTGCTGTAAAGAACTACCTGAGACTCGGTAGCTTACAAAGAAAAGAGGTTTAATTGACTCACAGTTCCACTGGCTGTGCAGAAAGCATGGCTGGGGAGGCCTCAGGAAATTTACAATCATGGCAGAAAGTGAAGAGGAAGAAAGGCACATTTCACATGGCAGCAGGAGACAGAGAGCAAGGAGCAAGTGGCACATTTTTAGATGATCAGATCTCATGAGAACTCACTCACTGTCATGAGAACAGCATGGGGGGAACCACTCCCATAATCCAATCACCTCCCACTAGGTCCCTCCCTCGACATGTGGAGATGACAATTCGAGATGAAATTTTGGTGGGGACACAGAGCGAAACCATATCACTATCACTGAAACCACATGGTTGAGTAGAGGCAGAAATTGTAGGGCAGTCAATATCGTGTGTTTTAGTTACATGGTGATATACGTGTGTAAGTGGTCAGCTTGAAAGATCAACAAAGGGTAGAAACAAAACTCCCTTTCTTGTAGCATTGATGTTAGTGTATAGGTATATCTATCATTAAACAAATAAAAATTTGGAGAAATCAAGGCAATAAACAAAAATGAGGCTATACACGTGACAATAAGTTTGTGATGGATAGCAATGGAAGGTTCTCTTATGCTCCTTTGGGTATGTGCTAATTTGTAAATCATTCTTTACTGATCTCAGGTGCTAGAAACAAGATGGCATAAACAGTTGTCATCCTTTGTTTGCTAGTACCTGAACTCCCTTAGTACATTTGGGATTATCCCATTGTAAGTATCTTGAGGGGATGCAGAGCAGTCTTCTACTACAGAAGCCCTAAATGCTAGATGTTCTTTTTCCCAGCTTTTTTTTTTGTCCCTATGAATGTACATTTACCTAATTATTGAAATACCCTCGATTGAATCATAAGCTATTGAACCAAGGAAGTAGCGGCAGCTTGCAATAGAAACAGAAACAACCAGTTTGTAGGTCATCAGGGGAAGCTGTGACATTGTCGCCCTTGATGAAACAGTTTTGAGCTCTGCTAGTAGTTTAGAGCCTTGCTGCTTAATTTCTTTACTCTTGCTCATATTCTGTTTTGTTTTGTTTTTGAGACGGAGTTTTGCTTTTGTTGCACAGGCTGGAGTGCAATGGCGTGATCTTGACTCACTGCAACCGCTGCCTCCTGGGTTCAAGTGATTCTCCTACCTCACCCTCCTGAGTAGCTAGGATAACAGGCACCAGCCACCACGCCCAGCTAATTTTTGTATTTCTAGCAGAGATGGGGTTTTACCATGTTGGCCAGGCTGGTCTCGAACACTTGACCTCAGGTGATCCACCCACCTCAGCCTCCCAAAATACTGGAATTACAGGGGTGAACCACCGTGTCTGGTCATTCTTGCTCATATTCTGAGCTTGGTTTTTCAGCCCTCCACATTTCTGGGCACTAACCAATTTCATTTTAATAAGCTTTTTCCTGCTCAGATAAGTTAGAATTTTTTTTTTTTTAATGTTTGTGGCCTTGACCTCTGCCTGGTACTTAAGAAGAACTCAAAAATGAGTCTTAAGAACAACAGCCTTCTAAGAATAAATTGCATGTGATGATAAAGCCTCATGGAATTCATTTTGTAGTCAATGAGAAAATAGAGAATGACTTATATGTGGCTTGTTGGAAATACAGTTTTGCATAAAGTGTGCCTGCAGTTAGCTTTCAGGAATGCTGTTAATGTCATCAAAGGATCTAAGGAGGTACTTATTGGTCAAGATTTCTAGTCTTTAAACATTTTATTTAAGATTATTTTTAGATGTAATTGACAAATTGATGATTGTCCCAGGAACTAAGTTAAATTATATAAATATTTTTCTTTTTCTTTCATTGTTATTATGTAACACAACTTTTATTTACAAGTTTAACCGAGTAGAAGCATCAAACAAATGCAACAAAAATCATGATATCTTGAGCAATGAAGAGCTGGAACTCTAATGATTGCAAAATCAAGTAGGTCACATTTATTATATGGTCTGGTGTCTACTCAGATTAACAGAGATCAAAACCCACATTTGACCCCAAGCCTTCCAGGAATTGTTTAATTAATACAAGTGCTTTTAACCTTGATTTTAATCTCATCTCAATTGTTGTTCAGTACCATATTGTTGAATATAAGATTGTATTTTTTTTAACATTTGTGAAGCACTAATGACTACTTCTTCTCAATAGAAATTTCATACATTTTATTTAATTTACAGATATGATAAATTTATAAGCAATTCAAATTTCTAATTAAGTTCTAAACTTGTATGAAGATATGCTTTACTTAAAATGTGGGTAGCAAAAAGTTTGCATAAAAATTTGCCTAAAATATAATTACATTTAAAATGCCTAAAAAAGCTTTATTATGTCTCAAATTCAATAATATTGTAGTTTTCAGTAATGCTAGCAATTTTAATGTTTTCACATATGGTCCCCAACTTCAGATGGTGCAACTTAGTGATTTTTTGACTTTATGATAGTACAAAAGCAAAATGTGTTCAATAGAAACCATACTTCAGGTACCCTCATGACCATTTTTTTTTCACTTTCAGCACAGTATTCCATAAAAGTACATGAGGGCTGGGCGCGGTGGCTCATGTCTGTAATCCCAGCACTTTGGGAGGCCAAGGAGGGTGGATCACGGGCGAGGTCAGGAGTTTGAGACCAGGCTGGCTAACATGGTGAAACCCCGTCTCTACCAAAAATACAAAAAAAAATTAGCCAGATGTAGTGGTGGGTGCCTGTAATCCCAGCTACTCAGGAGACTGAGGCAGGAGAATCTCTTGAAACTGGAAGGCAGAGGTTGCAGTGAGCTGGGATCGCACCACTGAAGTCCAGCCTGGGCAACAAGAGTGAGACTCCGTCTCAAAAAAAAAAACAAAACAAAACAAAACAAAACTTACATGAGATATTCAGCACCTTATTATGAAATAAACTTTGTGTTAGATTATTTTGCACAACTGTAGGCTAATGTAAGTATTCTGAGCACATTTAAGGAATACAAGACTAAGCTATGATGCTCGGTTGCTTAGGTATATTAAAGGCATTTTTGACTTATGATATTTTCAAAATATGTTGGGTTTATGGAAATGGAACCCCATTAAAAGTCAAGGAGCATCCGTACCTACAACCAGTTAAAATACACTAAATTCACTTTAAATAGCATGTCTGGGTGTATGACTAATAGGAATATCAAAGTAATAGGAAACAAATGATCTACTTTAATTTTCACAATAGTCTGAGAAAAGAAATTATCCTCATTTCATAATTTTGTTTTAAAGGTGCTTAGAATTTAAGTAACTGGCCCGTCTTATATAGCTAGTAATTAGAAGTATTTTGATTCTGACAATAATTTTTAATGAGAATCGATTATAACTTAACTCCTCTAAAAATGATTTTCCTTATAGTGTGCTATACTCTAATGAGCATTCAGTATACTTATTGAATAAATATATAAATGATTAAAACAATTTTTAAAATTAATGATTTTGTTTGATATATATTTGCTTTATGTATGTATATATATATCAAGCAAAATCATTACTGATATATATCAATAATTTATTTCTAAATATTTTTAAAGTTTTAAAGTCTTTTCCATATATTCAAATATTTTGTAGAGTTTTCTGACTTCCTTCAACTGGATTTATTGCTCTCTAGGGATTCTATGCAGTCATGTGGGATCTTAATCCACATAATCTTAGGCATTGTCTTAGACTCTCTCTTATGTAGTAGTCCTATGCTTAGATCTTCTATCTTTTGTTTGTTTGTCTTCTCTTTCATAGGGTAGGGGTGGAGCAGGGGAAAAAGCCATGGGAACACTTATTTCATTAGCTCCTGGGAAAGGTGAAGTCAATTTCTTATTGCCTGCATGACTGAAACTATCAATTCTAGCTATAAAGTTTATTGCTAATGTGACAGGGAATAGAATTCTAGATTTAAAAAAAAGTCTGACTTTTATGGTTTTACTCCATTGACTTCTAGCTTCAAGTATTGCTTTTGAAAAATATGGCAACATTAGGAATATTGTCTGAGAGGAGACAGATTTCCTCATCAGAAAGTTTTACATTCACCTTTTTGCCCCCGGCATTCTAAAATTTATAATGATGTGCCTCCATGAATGTCTATATTCATACATTAGGCAGTTCTTTCAATCTGGATACTTTGTTCTGGAATATTTTCCTAATTTATTTATTTGATAATTTATTTACATTATCTCTGTTCACTTTTGAACTACTTTTATTTGGTTTATTTTATTTTATTTTATTTTTATTTTATTTTTTTGAGATGGAGGCTTGCTCTGTCACCCAGGCTGGAGTGCAGTGGCGCGATCTCAGCTCACTGCTAGCTCTGCCTCCTGGGTTCACGCCATTCTTCTGCCTCACCATCCTGAGTAGCTGGGACTACAGGCACCCGCCACCACACCCCGCTAATTTTTTGTATTTTTAGTAGAGACAGGGTTTCACCATGTTAGCCAGGATGGTCTTGATCTCCTGATCTCGTGATCCACCTGCCTCGGCCTCCCAAAGTGCTGGGATTACAGGTGTGAGCCACCACGCCCAGCCTGGATGTTTTATTTTATGGATTTTTCCCCTAAACTTTTCTTTTTAATATTTTAAACTATTTTTATTTCTTTGTTCTTTTTTTCTAGTTTCTAGGAAATTTCTACAATATTAATTTCAAAGTGGGTGGTTTTTCATATTGCTCTCATAATTTAGGTTAACAACCACATTTTTTCTTTAATTTCTTGATTTTTAAAAGATAATATTTTGTTTATTGTTTATAGAAAATATCTCCTTTTGGTCTTTTTGGTTATTTAACGTCTACTGAAGTTTTATTCTCCTTTCAATAACGGTTTCTTCCAAGTTGTCCTTCCTGTGTTTGTTTGCTTTTTATTTCTATTTTTCATAATATAAACAAATGTCTAAATGTGTAGTGATCCATGGCTATCTCTTCACATTTTAAAACATGGCAGTTAAATCTGGTTGGAAGTTCTAAGCCTCTGGGTAAAACATGACAACTGTGCTCTAGTCTGTAAGGCAATCTGGTTGTAACATTTTATTAGACAGTCCCTGATATCATTAGAAGAAAATATTTTTCCTTAGTTATTTTTCCCCAGAAAACATACTTCCATGTTTTGATATGTTTTGGTTTTGTTTTGTTTTCATTTTTTTTCTTTCTAGAATAAATATACCTGACCAGTTATCTGAGAACTCAGTAAAGGACTCAGTACTAAGTGGTCTAGGAACTGAGTGGGGGACTAAGGTTAAATGTCTCCAAAAATTATCCCCCGCACTTAGCTAGATTTTAAAATCCTCAGTTCAGGGATTCTCTGTTTTTACCTTCCCTTAAGAATAAACCTCCTATCTTCTGCCAGAATGACTAAGAACCATCCTCTTGGTTTTTCACAATAGATGAAAGATTTGGGTGAGTCCACTTCTTAAATGACTGCTGTAGACTAAACTGTATCACTCCAAAATTCATATTTGAAGTCTTAATCCCCAATGTGTCTGAATTTCAAGAAAAGTCTTTAGGAGGTGATAAAGTTTAAATGAGATCATAAGAGTCAGGCCCTGATTCTACAGAATTGGTGTCTTTAGAAGAAGAGACATCAGAGAGCTTACTTCAATCCCCTGCTCTGCCCTGTGAGGACGTAGCAAAAAGGTAGTCATCTGTGACCCAAGGAAAGAGCCCTCTTCAGACACTGGCCCTGAAAGTAACTTGATCTTAGACTTCTAGTCTCCAAGTATGTAAAAAAATAATTTTGGCTGTTTAACCCAACCCATCTATAGTATCTTTTTATGGCAGCTCAAGCCAAGTAAAACAGATTTTGGAACCAAGAATCGATGGCCTGATACTGATTTTAAAAAATGTGGAAATGGCTGTGGAACTAGGTCATGGTCAGAGGTTGGAAAATTTTTTAGGTTCTTGCTAGAAAAATCTAGATTGTTGCAAAGATAGTGTTGGCAGAAATATGGACATTAAAATCAATTCTGATGAGAGCTCAGAAAGAAAAGAGAGCTAGAGATAAAACTGTATCTTCTTAGAGAATACATAAATAGTGATGTACAGAATGCTGGTAGGAATATGGACCTTTAAAAGGTCATTCTAGTGGAGTCTTCGACAGAAATGAGGAAAATATTATTAGAAACTGTAGGAAAGGCAATTGTCTTCATTCAGATTCTTGGCCTGTGATGGAATGGGCAGCTTTGATGATCTCTGAAATACCTTCTGGGTCATTTTGCTATTGCCTTGATAAATAGCCTCTGGCTTCCATAAAAATGGAAGATCCTTGTTAATCTCCTTATTAAATGTCAGCTTGGATGTAGCCTTGTTCTCTCCCAAATGTGCTTTTGTATTACTTTCAATATGAATATATGGATAAATTTCCATATAAGAGTGTCTGCTTCCTGTTTTATTGAATATTCTGTCTTTAAATCATTTTTCCTTTCTTGCCTTTTACTGTAAGCATTTAAGAAAAGCCAAGCTGTACCTCCAACACTTTGCTTCTAAATTTCTTCAGCAGAATATACAATTTCATAGCTCACAAGTTCTACTTTCCAAAAAAGACTAGGACATGAACAGAATTCAGCCAAGTTCTTTGCCATTTTATAACAAGGGTTGCCTTCCTTCCAGTTTCCAATAATATGTTTCTTATTTCTGTCTGAGACTTCCTGAGAATAACCTTTACCATATACACTTTTATCAGCATTCTGATCATGGCCATGTAAGAGCTCTCTTCTTCTTCTGAGCCTTCACCAGAATCATCCTTAACAGTCCATTCCCAATAATGAAGGCTATTTCTAGCATGCACCTCAAAATTATTCCAGTTTCTACCCATTAACCTGTTCCAAAGCCACATCCATGTTTTAGGTCTTGTTACAGCAGCACTCCCACTTCTCAGTACCAATTTTGTCTTAGTTAATTTGGGATACTAGCAAAATACTATAAACTGAGTAGCTTACAAACAACAGAAATTTCTTTCTCACAGGTTTGGGAACTAGGAAGGCCAAGATCAAAGTGACAGGAGATTCAGTGAGAGTCCATTTCCTGGTTCGTAGATAGCACCTTCTTTCTTGTGTTCTCACAAGGCAGAAGGCTTAAGGCAGCTCTCTGGGAACTTATTTATAAGGACACAAATCCCATTTATAAGGGCTACAACCCAGTGATCTAATCACACCTCAAAGGCCTCACCTCCTAATATAATCACATTGGTGATAGGTTTTAACATAGGAATTTGGGGCTGGGGGCAGACAGAAACATTCAGATAGTAGTAGCAGTCCTTGTTATAAAGTGGTAAAGGACTTGGTTGGATTGTATTGAATTGTATTCCAGTACTCTGTGAAAAGTAAAACCTGCAAGTGATAAAATTGGGTATTTTCCTGAGGTTATTTTTAAGCAAAATATTGAGAGTGTAGCCTGGGTCCTCCTAACTACTTATAGCAAAATGTAAAAGAGAGAGATGAATTGATGAAGACACTGTTAAGCAAAAATAATCTGAACTTAAATATTTGAAAAATTATCAGCTTATCCATATTGTAAAAATGAGAAATCATATTCAGAAGAGAACACCAAAAATATGTAGCTGGACTATCATTTGATAAAAGGAGTATGGGATTATATGAGAAGACACACTGCCAATTTGAACTGAAAGGGACAGAGATGGAAGGAAATGAAATACTTGGATTTCTTGTGTTATATAGTACCAACAGAACCCTCTTGCTGCAAACCTGCAGCATAAAGTTTCCCAGCACAGCAAACCTTCAAGAAAATGGAAGAATGACTTCAAAGGCAATTCAGGTATAAAAGTAGGACTGTCACTACCACCACAGGCCCGGGGGCCAGGGCTAGTTCTTTCTCAGTTTTAAAGGGTGAGGCCTCTCTCATTCTGGGGTACCATGATGCTTTCAACCAGTTCTTCAGGGGCAAGGCCATGGCCCAGTGACATGGAGGTAGATCCATCCAACAGAGCAGTTACCCCACTGCACCTGAAGGTCCACGACATCAAGCCAAAGAGGATTCTTCTCCAGGCTTAGCATCAAATGGAATTTGCTTTATTAGGTCTTGTACTTGCTAGGAACCGATAACTTTCTTCTTTCTGATTTTTCCCTTTTGGAATGAGAATTTCTATCCTATGCCTGTTCCACCATCTTATTTTAGAAGTTCAGACTTATTTAGCTTCACAGGCTCACAGCTCAAGCTGAATGTAGCCTCAGGATGAATTGTACTTTGCATCTCACTCATATCTAATTTACATATTTAGATGAGACTTTGGATTTTTGACTTCAGAGTTGATGCTGGAATCAAGGAAGTATTTTGGGGCTATCAAGATGGACTGAATGTATTTTGCATGCAAGAAGGACATGCATTTTGGGAGGCCGGGGTCAGAATGCTATGTACTAAATTGTATCCCTCTCAAAATTAATTTGTTAAAGCCCTAACCCCTAATGTGACTATATTTAGAGATAGGACATTTAGGAGGTAATTAATATCACATAAAGTTTTTAAGAGTGTGGCCCTGGCCTAATGGAATTAGTATTCCCATGAGAAAAGATACCACAGAGCTCCTTCCCACTTGCCAGTGAGAAGGTTGTCATGGGCAACCCAATGGGAGAGCTCTCCCCAGACACCAGCCATACTCGCATCTTGATCTTGGACTTCCAGTCTTCAAAACTATGAGAAAATAAATTTTGGTTGTTTAATCCACCCAGTCTATGGTATTTTGTTATGGCAGCCCGAGTTGACTTAAAGCAAACTTTTCTTTTCCGGCGGGGGAAGGGGCAGTAATCATTCTCCTTTTCAGAAAAAAAAAATGGGATGGGGTTGATTCTGAGATTTTTTTAAACCTCTGTGATTTAAGTAGAATTGCTTTTTTGCTTTCCCTACTTCTAGGTTAGAACTATGCTTGTTAGGTTAGATGCTTGTCTGTTTCATATTTTCAAACATAAAATGCTGTTGTTTTTCCCTCTAATTTTTTCTTTGCCTGTGTGTGTGTTTTTACTTCTTGAGTTATATTTTTTATTGTTGTGGTGGTGGGGTTCCAAAAGACAATAGAGCTAAATTCATGTGTTCAGTTTAAGATTTCTAACCAGAACTTTCCTATTTTATTTATTTTTTAAATGAAATTATACATGACTTGGGCCTCATTTTGTGAGTAAAACAGTGAGTGGAGAGAATCTATTTTCTTAGTATGTAAACAAAACTTTGACTTAATCTAGGGAAAATGCTCAAATCTAGTCTGCAGCCATCATACCTGCTGCTCTCAGTATTCTTGCCTAGGCTGACAAGGTCTACTAAAAACCAAATTGCACCACAAGTAGCATCCATCCATTCTGTATCAAACTTGTGCGTGGAGTTCCCAAACGTGTGTGTGTGTGTGTATGTGTGTGTGTACATCTTTCCTCTTCCACTGATCCGGTGTATCCTAGCTCCCTTAGGCTTTCTTGCCTCTAAGAAGCCACTCTTATCAGATCACTTTCCATCTAGAAAAATCTGGTCTGTTCACTTCCAAGCATCTAAGATAATAGTTATTAGTAAGTATGATACACCTAGAAAACATTTTTAATGTTTTATATATTGCCACACTAATGAGAAAGATAATAACATTTTGTAGGGCAGGACTATACCAGACATTTGAACAATTCCACATGATACAGGCTCCTTTGCATGCCTTATGACTTTGAAATCACATGACAGATAGTCACAGAAACACTAAGGTAGTTATATGATCATACAATCTAATCTCATTTTACCTATTCTCAGATTTTTCAAGATTTTCACGTAAAATGAATTTTTTGTGCTTGCAATCTTCTTGTATCTGTATCTATGGAAGACTGGATTTTATTTGGTTTAGAACTTTTTTAAAAGCTGTATCTATCTCCAAAGGTAGCACTTCCTGAGTTATTTGTGTGACCAATGTAACACACTTGTATTAGTCTGCATTTGTACATATGGTTTTAATCTCTGGTTAATTCATGACATCTTTTAATAAGGTAATGAAAATATGTACATATTAAATTACACTCTGCTTTATAAGAAATATGTTTATTTTTATTCCTCCATTTATTACAATTATTATAAATTGACTTAATTACATGTTTAGATGGTCTATATTATCCATGAATTTCAATTCAAGATAGGACAAGGGGCATAAACATATTTTTAGGGATATCATGGCTCTGATAGTGTTAAAAATCAAGAAGCTTTCAGTTACAAAGGAGGCTCAAGGACTCAATGTCTTATAAATCCTCTTTGAATGTAGGTGCAACACACATCTTATTGCTTATAAGAAACCTACAGAAGAGAAATGAGACAGTTAATTTTGAAATATTCTGCTTCATTAAATTGCTAATACTCCCATTGTTGTTATAAGACTTTATTAATTTTTAAATTCAGCAAATATTTATTTACTGAACATCTATTAGATAGCAAATAGTTGCATATTTTAAAAAATATTTTTAATGGATCTGTTACAGCCTAATCTTTCCTTTGCTCTTCTACCCCTTGATCTCTTTCTCACTTTCCTCTATTTCAAGAATTATATAAGGCATCCGGGTGTGGTAGCTCACGTCTGTAATCCCAACAGTTTAGGAGGCCGAGGCAGGCAGATCACTTGAGGTCATGAGTTTAAGACCAGCCTGGCTAACATGGCAAAACCCCATCTCTATTAAAAATACAAAAATTAGCCAGGCGTGGTGGCGTGTGCCTGTAATCCCAGCTATGAGGGAGGCTGAGGCAGGAGAATTGCTTGTACCTGGGAGGCGAAGGTTGCAGTGAGCCAAGATTGTGCCACTGCACTCCAGCCTGGGAAACAGAGCAAGACTCTGTCTGAAAATAGAAAAAGAATTATATAAGGCACAGATATATTCTGCATATAAAAATACAATAATAAACTTTGCAGATAGGACTGACGTCCCTTTTTAGCATGCTTTTCTCCAAGTCTATCCTTGCCATCACCAACTAGTCACTGCTTTTTTCTAGTATTTACATACATATGTGTACCAGTAAGAAATATGTGTGTTTGTATAGTGAGGGAAGTTGTATTTAGGGGTGTGTTGGGAGTTGTTAATATATTATTTCATATTGTAGATATTTTGCTGTAAATGATTTATGTATTTTTAATTTAAAGACATACCTTATAATTTCATTTGTTTGTTCATATAGTTATTCCTTATTTTTTGTCCGTTGTATTGTATTCTATAGTATTAGCATATGTCTTCTAAAATATCCACCAAATCACAAGCAACATAGACATCCCAATATTATAAGCTCTCATATCTAACTAGAAAAGTACAGAGAAGGTGTGGCAGCAGGAGAGTGGATTAAAGCTCTAAGGGAGGGTATGTGGTCTGAAAAGCTTGTGGAAAGACACTAAGGAAAAATCTACCACTTGCTTCCTGAATTTTATTTGCTTAACCTATAAGGATGGAGCAGGCAGATGACTGAATAAAAGAGAGAATGAGGGAAAAAATGAAGAGGAACAGAGAGAGAAATATTTTATAAATATGTATATTTCTTATGTATTTATATACTTACATAATATATATCAATATTGTCTCCTAAGATCTTTTCTCCAGAAATAAGTATCTATGATATCCTTTAGGTCCTAACATCTGAGAAAGGAGAGATTTCCAGGACATAAGTCTCTATAATTAACAGCTCAGCTTTCCAACCATCGCCCTAATCAGAAATACATTTGCCTCTAAAAAATATTACTTCTGGTATCACCAAAAATCACAGTTAATATACTGATGAGCTTCCTTGAACAGAAGACACATGATGCTTAGAAAAGTTTATGTGCTTCTTATGTGAAGAAAGTAGAGTGATACCAGATAGATTATAAACTGGATAAGGAGCCATTATCTGTGCATAGTATAGCCTATTGTGGAAATTCCTATTTTCCTTAAATTGGAAATTCCTTTAACACACACCTAACCTAAATCAGAACTACTATGATTTTTCAAGAGAGAGAGAGAGAAACAATAATAAAATAAGATATTTTTCATTTCTGGGAAAATGTTTAGATACCTTGCTTACTAAGAATATAAGATCAAAATAGCAGAAGCAAGAAACAGGAGTTTAAAAAGAAAAACAGCAATATTGTGTTGTTTTTATCTTGGTTACCTATTTAGAAGTATTTATAGATCTTTAAATTGGAATTTTCTTTGAAGAGATCCAAAGATTCATTACTATCATGCAATGTTTTGTAAATCATTATTTTAAGTCTCAGCTAGATGGAACTTCTTTAATTTATTCAGCCCTTGTGACATGGTAATCTGAATAGTATTATCCATAATAATGGGATTTTACTTTCTTAATTTATCTTCCAAGACTTACTCTATCCTTATTCTGTATCCAAAGCTTTTACCATGGTGATTATCTACTGTAATAGTAAAGCCACAAGGATTCATGAGGAGAGAGATTTTTTCATGATTTTAGCTGCTTATGTTTTATCAGCCTTTTTGGTGATTTGTATTATAATAACCCTGATATATTTCCCAGAATTCTTTTCCCATCTAATTCTGTTTGTCAAAATGCGAATCATGATCCATGCATGCAATCTGTTTCCATGTAGAAAGATCATTTAAAGTAGAACAGGTAAAAGTAGAAAAAAATGATTAAGTGGGATTTTAGCCATTAGTGCTTTTAAGCCAGCAATATTTAATTTGAAAAAGAAAGTAGCATGGTATTTTTCACAGAAGCCTTAGGGAATGCCCAACATCTAACATGCTTTTACTTAATAACATTACCTATTTTTGGAGAAAAATTGCTAACATGTAGTGACTAATGTGTTACCATAATACAGTAAATCACTTCATGAGATGGATTACATTCCTGTAACAATTAAATAAAATAAAAATGGGTTGAGCATCTTTATAACCTCAATATTTTAAAAAATTCTTTTTAGCTAAAGTAACATCACATAAATAAACATGTTTGATATTGTGGAAATTATACATATTCTCAGTCCTAAAGTCACAAAGGTTATTTAACTTCGATTGTGTTCTCACTCCAATTGAGTATTCTCTCTCTCTCTATGTATGTGTGTGTGTGTATATATATATATATATATATATATAAAATCTGATAAATATATGTATATATAACTAGAAAATTTTAAAACATGTTTAGCTGTAAAATGATTCAGCTCATGTTATTTTAAATTCACGCCTTACACTCTCTTCACTGCCAGTTGTTATCTAGTTCATATATTTTGAAAAACAAGTATTCATTTATCAACTTCATTCAACTAAGACATTAATCATATACCAGAAATGATACTAGTTACTGGACCAGTATCAAGTAAACATGATATGCACCACCTACCTCTCTAAAGTTTCTTATCATTAGTAAGCAAAATAAATATTAAACCAATGAATGTCATGAACCTCATTGAATTCAGAAACTATATCTGAGTTAGAAAATACATATTTTAATTGATAACACAGAAAATTTGAAAACTCACACGTAACCAAAATATACTAAGTTAAGGCCAATTTTAAAAATTAACAGATAGGTGATGCAGCAATATTAATGTTGGATCAAAGAGATTTTAGGAAAAAAGTAATTAGCAAACATTTATTAAACACAAGGGACAGACCATTGTTCAATACATATTTTAAGAAGAGACAAAAAATACATAATTTAAACATGCAATGTAGTAGGTGACAATGAGCACTATGAAGGAAGATAAAGCTGAAAGAAGGATGAAGCTAGGAGATTCTAATCATTCTGGTTAACTTGATATTTTAAATATGATGGCTAGGAAGCCCTAACTGAAAAGATGATATTTAAGAAAATATCCAAAAGAAGAAAGATGGACAGTTGTATTTGTTTCTCAGGGAAAAACACCTAGGCTAGAGTAATACCAATTTGTTCTAAACATTATGTTTCAGTGATCTAGTCATATTGCAACATGTAGATTTAGCTCATACCTTATCTATTTCCCCTTGTGATGGACACCTACATTGCCTTCAACACTGTTAGAAAAAGAAACATTACTATGAACTTCTTCTTAAATACATACTTGTAAATGTATTCAAAGGTTTTCCTCAGAATCAAAATTTCAAGATTATGGAGAATGCCCATATTAAATACAATCAGTGCTGTTTGATTAGTTTCAGAGGGGGCTTCACAAATTAACATCTCAATAGCAGCATAAGGAGAGTACCTCGATATTACATAATTTTCTAGTTTTCTTTAAATAATAAATATAAGAAGGTATTTTACTTCAATAATAAGTTCATACATATCTTAAGATATTCAAGGAGACCTACAAACCACTGCTCAAGGAAATAAGAGAGGACACAAACAAATGGAAAAACATTCCATGCTCATGGATAGGAAGAATCAATACTGTGAAAATGGCTGTACTGCCCAAAGTAATTTATAGATTCAATGTTATCCCCAACCAGCTACCATTGATTTTGTTCACAGAATTAGAAAAAACTACTTTAAATTTCATATGGAACCAAAAAAGAACCCATATAACCAAGACAATCCTAAGCAAAAAGAAAAAAGCTGGAGGTATCAAGCTACCTGACTTCAAACTATACTACAAGGCTGCAGTAACCAAAACAGCATGGTACTGGTACCAAAACAGATATATAGACCAATGGAACAGAACAGAAGCCTCAGAAATAATGCCACCAATCTACAACCATCTGATCTTTGACAAACATGACAAAAACAAGCAATGGGGAAAGGATTCCCTATTTGATAAACGGTATTGGGAAAACTGGCTAGTCAAGGCAGAAAATTGAAACTGGACCCCTTCCTTACACGTTATACAAAAATTAACTCAAGATGGATTAAAGACTGAAACATAAGATCTAAAACCGTAAAAACCCTAGAAGAAAACCTAGGGAATACCATTCAGGACATAGGCATGGGCAAAGGCTTCATGACAAAAACACCGAAAGCAATGGCAGCAAAAGCCAAAATTGATGAATGGGATCTAATTAAACTACAGAGCTTCTGTACTGCAAAAGAAACTATCATCAAAGTGAATGGGGCAACCTACAGAATGGGAGAAAATTTTTGCAATCTATCCATGTGACAAAGGGCTAATATCCAGAATCTACAAGGAACTTAAACAAATGTACAATAAAAAAATAACCCCCTCAAAAAGTGGGCAAAGGATATGAACAGACACTTCTGAAAAGAAGACATTTATGCAGCCAACAAACACATGAGAAAAAGCTCATCATCACTGGTCATTAGAGAAATGCAAATCAAAACACAATGGGATGCCATCTCATGCCAGTTTGAATGGTGATCATTAAAAAGTCAGGAAACAACAGATGCTGGAGAGGATGTGGACAAATAGGAACTCTTTTACACTGTTGGTGAAAGTGTAAATTAGTTCAAACATTGTGGGAGACAGTGGGGCAATTCCTCAAGGATCTAGAACTAAAAATACCATTTGACCCAGCAATACCATTACTGAGTATATACCCAAAGGATTATAAATCATTCTACTATAAAGACACATGCACATATATGTTTATTGCAGCACTATGCACAATAGCAAAGGCTTGGAACCAACCCAAATGTCCATCAATGAGAGATTGGATTAAGAAAATTTGGCACATATCCACCATGGAATACTATGCAGCCATAAAAAAGGATGAGTTCATGTCCTTTGAAGGGACATGAATGTAGCTAGAAACCAACATTCTCAGCAGAGTAACACAGGAACAGAAAACCAAACACCGCATGTTCTCATTTGTAAGTGGGAGTTGAACAATGAGAACACATGGACACCGGGAGGGGAACATTACACACTGGGGCCTGTCGGGGGTTCAGGGGGGAAATAAGAGAGATAGCATTAAGAGAAATCCCTAATGTAGATGATGAGTTGCTGGGTGCAGCAAACCACCATGACATGTATACCTATGTAACAAAGCTGCACGTTCTGCACATGTATCCCAGAACTTAAAGTGTAATTTTAAAAAAAGATATAGATATTTGAAGATTTTCTTTTTGTTGTTGTTGTTTTTTAACACAGAATCTTGCTCTTGTTGCCCAGGCTGGAGTGCAATGGCACGATTTCAGCTCACTGCAACCTCTGCCTCCCGGGTTCAAGCGATTCTCTTGCCTCAGCCTCCTGAGTAGCTGGGATTACAGGCACCCACCACCACACCCAGATACTTTTTGTATTTTTAGTAGAGACGGGGTTTCACCATGTTGGCCAGGCTGGTTTTGAACTCCTGACCTCAGGTCATCCACTCGCCTCAGCCTCCCAAAGTGCTGGGATTACAGGCGTGAGCCACTGCGCCCAGCTTATTTTTTCTATTAGGTTTTTCTTGCAGTAGTAATCACTGGTTTTTTGTACATGTTTGTATGTAAAAGTTTTGTAGTAAGTCGTCTTATAATGTCAGAAATGTATTTTTAAAATTTTTAATATTTTAAACTGCAAGCTCTATTTCAATGCGAATTTTGAAATTTAAAGTGTTATGGGTCACTTTGGTTTTCTTTTTTCCTTGTTAACATATCATTTTTTGGGTACTCTAGATACCAATTATTTAAAAATTAAATATATTGCAGATATTTTCTTCTAATCCTACACCCATTCTTAATCTTAGCTTGTCATGTTCTTGATAAAAGTACTTAATTTTAATATAGTTATATATTTTTATATATGATACATATATTTATATATGTTATATATTTATATAGATATATATTTATATGCTATATTTTATATATATATATCTTTGGCTTTATATTTTGTGATACTGGAAGATCTTATTTAAGGAAACTTCTTGTCTCCTTGGTGTTGTCATTAATTCGTTAGGATTTTCTTAATTCCACTATTTAAATTATATGATCTATAAATAGTATTTTTCTTCCCTTACAAAGTATTTAATTTTCTTTTCATATTGCTTTGTTAACATAATCTCTGAAAATTTTGTTGAACAATCATGGTGATAGAAATATCTTCACAGGATAGTCTGGCAATTATTGGCCTTCTAGGGAATCATACATTAGTGTTTCTTGTATTTATTTATTTCTGCAGAAGTTCAAAAACATTATTTAATTCTTTTTATTGTATCTGTACTAAAGTTTTTCTCTTCATCATTATTTTGTATACAAAATTTAGTAAAAATTCATCCAAATTACTTAAATTTTTCAAAAATTATCCACATTGGATTTAATTATAAGTGCTATAATTTTCTGCTAACTCAGTAAATTCTATTCTTAACCTTTACCAATTCACTTACATTCCTTTCTTTTTATTAGGTTATCAATTTTTTAGTTTTCTTATCTTTCATGACTATTACCTTTATTTTACCTTCTTTTTTAGTAATATAGGGATAGGCAGATATAAATATTTCTTTGAGTAACACTTTGGTCACAAGTTCTGACCTATTTTCATTTTCTTCATTTTATAATATTCTATCTGGGTTTGGTTTCCCCTTTCTATCAAATGCTAAAAGTTTCCTTTGTTTACTTAATTTCTGGATGGATTATTTGATTTACAATTAATTTCCTGTTTGACTGCATTGTGATTAGGTAATGACCCCTGCTACATTTCTACTTTTTTGGTAACTTATTGTAATATTATTTGTCCTTTGTGTATTTTGTAGTTTTTGCAGTTACTGTTTCATAGGTATTTTAAAATAATGTATATTCACTGTTTTCACAATGTATGATTTGATGCATACTATATATCTGTTTTATTCATTAAGTTATTATAGATTTCTACATTTTAATATTTTTATTTTTTTTGAGACGGAATCTCACTCTGTCACCGAGGCTGGAGTGCAGTGGCGCAATCTCGGCTCACTGCAAACTCTGCCTCCCGGGTTCAAGCCATTCTCCTGCCTCAGCCTCCCGAGTAGTTGGGACTACAGGCGCCCGCCACCACGCCCGGCTAATTTTTTTTTTTTTGTATTTTTAGTACAGTCGGGGTTTCACCGTGTTAGCCAGGATGGTCTCGATTTCCTGACCTTGTGATCTGCCCGCTTCAGCCTCCCAAAGTGCTGGGATTACAGGCGTGAGCCACTGCGCCCGGCCAATTTCTATATTTTTAAATAATTTTCTCCACTCAGTCTCTTCTGAGCTGGAAGAAAAAATATAGTCTCCTATTATACAATAAAATATTGTTATTAAATATCTACTGTAAGTTTTGATGCTAAAATGTTTCAGATATTTTATATATTTGGCTGATATTTTTAGTCTATCTTCTATCTTTTATTGTAATCAAGTGCTCTTTTTTTCTCTAGTTTTTTTTGTCCAGTGATTAACCTTTTGACATTATAAGGCTGATTCTTCTTTGTTTGAAGTATAATTTTTTGTTTTGACTTCATGACTTTGTCTACATTTTTGTTTTGAGTCCTTTTCCAAAAATAACTTTAGGTAAATTAGCAAATTAATTCTGAAATTCCCAACATTTTCAGACACACTTCTTTTCTTGTTCCTTGATCATGCCAGGCATAATTTCCCTCCCTGGGCTTTTTCACTGGCTCTTCTCTCTACATGAATTTTTTTTCCTCCCAGAAGTTTCCTCCTCTATCTCCAAGTATCTCCTAAAATATCCATTTCTCAAAGAAGACTATCTTTCGGATTACCTGTTTAAAAGAGCAACTCATCACTCAGCATCACACAATAGTCATTAGCATGGCACGTCTTTTTCTTTCTCTTTAGAGTGTATGGTTTTTTAACATACTTGTAATATATCTTTTTTATTCATTGTTTCTTTTGATTTGCACCTTAAATTACAAGCTTCACAGGACCAGAGATTAATCCTCATATGCCAGAACAGTGAAATATGTACGGTAGGTACTAAAAATATATGTTGAATAATACATGAGAAACATGATAGATAAGGTTGAAACATATGCTAGGACAATCTAGATTATAAAGACATTAACAAGATAAATTAAGTATAATTCAAGAGCTGTAATAAGTTAGAATTGCTACAATTACTAACCAAACAGAAATGATCACTTACCACTGCTGCATAACAATAAGATAGCCAGTAGACTATGCAGGAATCCCAGCTCACTAGAGTTTTTGTATCTGTTTGTTATTTCCCTTCATAAAGTATATATTAGAATTCAAGAGAAAGTGATGCTAAACTGGGAATATCTTTAAACAGATTTGAATATAAAAGCCAAAAGTCAACTACTCATGGATTAATTTTGGTACTTTAATCATTATTACAAAACATTTCTCAATTGATGGTGACAATTATTCCATATCCTAAGTTTATTATATCGAGTCAAAGTAGTAACGTATAATATTAACTCATAATATTACCTTGGTTGCTGTTCTTGGTAAAGTACCCATTTTAGTATATCATGAGCTAATGATATAATTGTTTAAATGCCCACTCAACCTGGAATCTCTGCTACATCTCTCAATTTCATTTCTTCACTGTATTTTGAAGAAAATCTGTGGCTTACCTGTTACTGTGCATCCCTTGCTAAAAATGTGTTAGAGAATTAGAATATCTAAAACTGATGTTTGCCCCTGCCATCACAATTTACTATTTACAGGTTGCTTTCAACTTCTAGGAAATATCGCTGCTGCTCCAGTATTATTCCAACTAGATCACCCCTGGGTATGGTTTGGGATTTCAGAAATTTGAACACCAACAAGTGACCATTTTCAGCAGCTTTCTGATTCAATAATTCATGAATTGACCTTTAGACCTTTGTTTGACTTTCAACTCTAGAAATAATTATAATCCCCAGCATGGTGTATAATAAAACATACATTTCCCAAAGGGAAATAAATGATCAAACTGTCAAACTATAGTGAAATCCACTTACAACACCCAGTTATGTTACATATCTTTGTATTGAACTTTTATTTCTTAGCTACTGGACATTAATACAATATTTCTAATGTAAAACACTTATTGATATTTTCAAATGTTAAACAAATTGTATGAAGAGATTCTTTAGAAGCAGTAAATAAGGTTTCAGACAACATAGAATTGTTTTGTGCTTTCTGTTTTCTTTCTTTAACAGTGATTCTTAATGTTTTGCTTTTTATGTCTGTTTTATGCAATCCCATCTATGACAGTGATCTAGCCTCTCCAGTGCCAACATATATCTTATTTATTCAACAAGAATTTACTGAACACCTATCATGAGCAATTTACCATCCTAGGCGCTTGAGATACTTCAATGAACAAAACCAATAGTGAATTATATTACAAGCTTAGTGAACATTGCAGTCAAAAACGTTAAGTTTAAGGAAGTTGTGCCCCTGACATCAGAAATAGGAGCAGCAGCTCTCTCTCTCTCTCTTGCTTTTAGAAGAGTTGATACGACTTAACAATTTTCTTATCATTATAAGATGATTCTCTACCCATGCATATAGATTAGTATTCAGTATCTGAACTGTGTAAATCTATAAGAAGAGCCATACTATTATAGTATAAGAGGGAGAAGGGTTAGTAATGTATCTTTATTATTTTAGCACTGGAACATTAACTCAGACAGCTATTAAAATAATATCATTTATGACCAGAGCATATGAATGTGGTCAAAAGGAATTCATCTTAAATAAGACAAATATTTACACTGCCAACAATCAACCCTTTAATATATGGACAGTAGAGTATGTGTAAATGGTGTGGTATTGGTGCCAATGAAATTAACTTTAAGAATAATGAATATCAAGCCAATGTTTCTGGTACAGCAGGTTTTAAGAGAAAACCACAGTATTCTGAAAAATTATAGATTCAAAGGAAGTGTTTTTTAATTTTCTTTAAAGTTGACTTGTAATAATTGTACATATTTTTGGAGGTACAGTGTGATGTTTTAATACATATATACATTTTGTAAAAATCTAATCAGGATATTTAGCATATACATAAACTAACACATTTATCATTTCTTTGTGGTGAGAACAATCCAAATCTCTTCTAGAATTCTAAAAATTGTATATTTTGAAATATAAAATACAATGTTACTAACCAGGGTCACTCTATGCTCCAACAGGGGACCAAAACTTAATCATCCTGTCCAGCTGTAAATCTCTACCCATTGACTAATCTTTCTCTATCTCCCCACCCTTCCTTTCCCCAGCCCCTGGTAACTACTATTCTACTCTCTACTTCAAGGAGATCAACTTCTCTGGATTTCACATATGAATGAAATCATGCATTATTTGTCATTCTGTGCCTGGCTTATTTCACTTAACATACTGTCATCTAGGTTCATTCATATTACCACAAAGATGGGATTTTATTCTTTTTATATGGTTGAATACTATTTCATGGCATATATATTTCACATTTTCCTTCTTTATTTGCCGTGCTAGACACTTAGGTCCAGTGCAGAAGAGTTTCCCTTTTTTCATATCCATGCTAGCATTTGTTATTTTTTTTCTTTGTAGTAAGAGTCATCCTAATGAGAGTGAGGTGATGTCTCAGTATGTTTTTGGTTTGATTTGAATTTCCCTGATGATTGATTATTACGATGCTGATAATTTTTAATGCCTGCTGGCTGTTTCATGTCTTTTCTTGAGATATGTCGATTCATATATTTTGCCTATTTTTTAGTCACATTATTTGAGGGTTTTTTTTTTGCGGGGTGGGGGTTATTTTGTTTTGTTTTTGCTATTCAGTTGTTTGAGTTCTTTATATACTCTGTATATTAACCTCTAGTCAGATGCATGGTTTGCTAATATATTCTCTGATTTTGTAGGTTATTTTTATTCTGTTGACTATTTTATTTGCTGTGCAGAAAACTTTTAGTTTGATTCAATCCCATTTGTATATTTTTGCTTCTGTTGCCTGTGCCTTCGGGGTCTTATCCAGAAAATTCTTGCCAAGACCAATCTCATGAAACATTTCCCAAGTGTTTTCTTCCAAGAATGTAACTGTTTCAGGCCTTACCTTTACATTTCTAATCCATTTTGATTTGATTTTTGTATGTGGTGAAAGATAGAGGCCTAGATTCATTTTTCTGTGTGTGGGTACAGTTTTCCCAGCACCAGTTATTGAAGAGACTGTGCTTTCTCCATTGTGTGTTCTTGGCATCTTTGTCAAAAACCACTTGGCTGTAAGTACAGGTGCTAAGTTTTGTGTTCTCTATTTTGTTCCATTGGTCTATGTGTCTCACTTTAGGCCAGCACCATGGTGTTTGGTTTGTAGTATATTTTGAAGTATATTTTGTAGTATATTTTGAAGTCAGGTAGTGTGATGTCTCCAGCTTTGTTCTTTTTGCTCAAGGTTGCTTTGGTTACTCAAGGTCTTTGGTAGAAATTGCATTTAATCTACAGACTGTTTTCAGTAGTATGGAATTTTTAACAAGACTCATTCTTCCAATTCATGAGCATGTAATAGCATTTATTAATCTTTAATTTTTTAATCAATGTTTTATATATAGTTTTTAGTGTAGGGATCTGCCAACTCCTTTGTTATATTTACTCTAAAATATTTAATACAGGCCAGGCATGGTGGCTTACGCCTGTAATCACAGCACTTTGGGAAGCCAAGGCAGTTGGATTACTCGAGATCAGGAGTTCAAGACCAACCTGGCCAACATGGCGAAACCCCCTCTCTACTAAAAATACAAAAATTAGCTGGCGTGGTGTGTATGCTTGTAATCCCAGCTACTTGGGAGGCTGAGGTGAGAGGATCACTGAACCTGGGAGGCAGAGGCTGCATTGAGCCAAGATTGTGCCACCGCACTCCAGCGTGGGCAACAGAGCAAGACTCCATCTCAAAAATATATATTTAATTTTTTGTGCCTATTATAAATGAAATTGTTTTCTTGATTACTTAAGATAGTTTGCTGCTATTGTACAGAAGTGCTATTGATTTTTTAAGTTGATTTTGTATCCTGTAACTTTACTGAATTTTAAAAATAAATTCTAATAATTTTTAGTGGAATCTTTAGGGTTTCCTAAATATAAGATTATTTCATCTGCAAACAAACAATTTAACTTCTTCCTTTCCAATTTGAATGTCTTTTATTTTCTTCTCTTGCCTGATAGCTCTGACTAGGACATCCAGTGCCATGCTGAAAAAAAAATGGCAAATGTGGACATCCTTGTCTTGTTCCATATCTTAAAGAAAAACTTCTCAACATTTCCTCATTCAGTATGATATTAGCTGTGGGTTTGTCATATATGGCGTTATTGTGTTGAGGTACATCCATTCTATACTCAATTTGTTGAGAGTTTTTTTTTTTAAATCAGGGAGTGATATTAATTTTTTTGAATTTTTTCTATATCTATTGAAACAATTATATGGTTTTTTCATTCTTCATTCTGTTATTGTAATGTATTACAATGATTGATTTTCATACGATGCACATGATGTTGAACTATCCTTGCATCCCTTATACAAATCCCACTTGATCATGGTGAATGGTCTTTTTAATATGACATTAAACGCAGTGTGATGGTATTTTGTTGAGGATTTTTTCATCTATTTTCATCAAGGATATTGGACTATAGTTTTGTTTTGTTCTTGTCTGGTTTTGGTATCAGGGTAGTTGGCCTTGTAGATGAGTTTGAAAGTATTTCTTTCTCTTTAATTTTTTTAATAGTTTTAGTAAAATTGCTGTTAGATCTTTCAATGTTTGGTAGAATAACTCAGTGAAGCCATCGAGTTCTGGACTTCTTTGGATGGGAGACATTTTATTACTAGTTTAATTACATTACTCATTATTGGTTTGTTCAGGTTTTCCATTTCTTTATAATTCAATCTTGATAGGTTGTATATGTCCAGGAATTTATCTGATTTTTGGCATATAATTATTCGTAATAGTTTCTCATGATCCTTTGTATTTCTGTGGTATCAGTTGTAATGTCTTCTTTTTCATCTCTACTTTTATTTTCATGAGTCTTCTCTTTTTTTCTTGGTCTGAGTAGAGATTTGCAAATTTTGTTTATCTTTTCAAAAGAGTAACTCTTAATTTGTTGATCTTTTGTATTTTTTGTCTCTATTTTATGTCAGCTCTGAACTTTATTATTTCCTTCCTTCAATTAATTTTGGGTTTGTTTTTTTCTTATGTTTTTAGCTTCTTGAAGTGCAATGATAGGTTGTTTACTTGAGATCTTTCTTCTTTTTTGATGTAGGCATTTATTGCTGTAAACTCCCCTCCTAATTTTGCTTTTGTTGTATCCCATTGGTTTGGATTTGAAGTGTTTCCATTTTCATTTATCTCAATAAATTTTTAAATTTCCCTTTTAATTATTTATTGACCCCTTGGTTTTTCAAGAGTGTGTAGTTCAGTTTTCATGTATTTGTAAATTTTCTGATGTTTTTTCTATTATTAATTTCTAGTTTAATACCATTGTGGTCAAAAAAGACACTTTATATCATTTCAACCTTCTTAAATTTGGTAAGATCTGTTTCTAGCTTAGTATATAGTCTGTTCTGGAGAATGTTCCACGTGCAGTTGAGAAGAATGTATCTTCTTCACCTCTTGGATGAAATGTGCAAACTTTTATTAGGTTTATTTGGTCTAGGATGCAGTTTAAATTTGGTGTTTCTTTTATGACTTTCTGTCTGGATGACCTGTCTGTTGCTATAAGTTGGGGGAGGGGGGTTAAAGTTCCTTAGTATTAGTGTATTGCAATCAATTTCTCTCTTTAGAGAAAATGCATGCATTATAGATCTAAATGCAAAAAGATAGACCAATCGTGTGTATGTGTGATTGGATGTTGGGTGAATATACGTGATTGTTACATACTCTTACTGAATTAACCCGTTTGTCATTACTTAATAACCTCCCTTGTCTCTTTTTTATTATTTTATCTGGAAGTCTGTTCTATCCAATATAAGTATTGCTGCTACTCCTCCCTTTTGGTTACCATTTGCACGGAATATTTTTTCCATCACTTCACTTTTAGTCTATATGTGTCCTTACCATTGAAATGAGTAGCTTGTTGTCAACATATAGTTCAGCCTTGTTTTCTTTTTTATACATTCAGTTACTTTTTATATTTAAATTATAGAATTTAATACATTTAAATTCAAGGCGATTATTTTTTAATTTTAATGTTTTTTATTTTTAATTTTTAAAATGTTTGTGGGGTACATAGTATATATTTTAGGGGGTTCATGAGATGTTTTGATACAGGCATGCAATGTGAAATAAGCACATCATGGAGAATGGGGTATTCATCTGCTCACGCATTTATCTTTTGAGTTACAAACAATCCAATTACATTCTTTAAGTTATTTTAAAATGTACAATTAAGTTATTATTGACTATAGTCACCTTATTTTGCTATCTAACAAACAGTAGGCATTATTTCTATTTTTTTAACCCATTGGCCATTCCCACCTCCCACTAAACCCCCAATACCCTTTCCAGTCTCTGGTAACCATCTTTCTACTCTCTATGTCCATGAATTCAATTGTTTTGATTTTTAGGTCCCACAAAAACGTGAGAATTGCATTGTTTGTCCTTCTGTGCCTTGCTTATTTCACTTAATGATTTCCAGTTCTGTCCATGTTGTTGTGAATGACTGGATATCATTCTCTTTTGTGGCTTAATAGTACTCCATTGTTTATATATACCACATTTTCTTTATCCATTCATTGTTGATGAACAACCTTAAGGTTTGGAAGGTTGCTTCCAAACCTTAGCTGTTGTAATCAGTGCTGCAGCATAAAAGTACAGATATCTCTTCAATATACTGATTTCCTTTCCTTTGGGTATATGCCCAGCAGTGGGACTGCTGGATCATATGGTAGCTCAATTTTTTGAGGAACCTCCAAATGGTTCCTCAAACTGTTCCTCATTGTGTTCTCCATAGTGGTTGTAATAATTTACTTTCCCACCAACAGAGTACAAGGGTTCCCTTTCTCCATACCCTCGCCAGCATTTGCTATTGCCTGTCTTTTGGATATAAGCCATTTAAATTGGGGTGAGACGATATCATTGTAATTTTAATTTGAATTTCTCTGATGATCAGTATTGGGAGCACCTCTTCATATGCCTCTTTGCCATTTGTATGTCTTCTATTGAGAAATATCTATTCAAATCTTTTGCCAATTTTTTGATTAGATTATTAGATTTATTCCTATAGAGTTGTTTGAACTCATATATTCTGGTTATTAATCCATCATCAGATGGGTAATTTGCATTCTGTGGGTTGTCTCTTCACTTTGTTGTTGTATCCTTTACTATGTAGAACCTTTTTATTTTATTTTAATTTTTTATTAGACTTTATTTTTGAAAGCAGTTTCAGGTTCACAGCAGAATTGAGTGGTATGTACAGTCACCATTTACCCCTCACCATGACCCCCCTCTACAACCTCCCCCACAATCAACATCACCCGCTGGAATGTCACATTTGTTACATTTGATGGGCCTATAGATACATCACTATCACCCAACGTCCATAGTTCAGAGTTCACTTTTGGCGTTGTACATTCTTTGGGTTTGGTATGCCATGTATCCACTACACGGAAGACTTTACTGCCCTAAAAATTCTTTGTACTCTGCCTATTCATCCCTCTCTCTACCCTCATATCAACTTTTAAATATCATTTCATAGAGTGTTAATTTCTATTTTTTTTTAATTATACTTTAAGTTCAAGGGTACATGTGCACAACGTGCAGGTTTGTTACATAGGTATACATGTGCCATGTTGGTTTGCTGCACGCATCAACTTGTCATTTACATTAGGTATTTCTCCTAATGCTATCCCTCCCCCTGCCCCCCATCCCATGATAGGTCCCAGTGTGTGATGTTCCCCGCCCTTTGTCCAAGTGTTCTTATTGTTCAATTTCCACCTATGAGTGTGAACATGTGGTATTTGGTTTTCTATCCTTGTGATAGTTTGCTGAGAATGATGGTTTCCTGTTTCATCCATGTCGCTGCAAAAGACATAAACTCATCCTTTTTTATGGCTGCATAGTATTCCATGGTGCATATGTGCCACATTTTCTTAATCCAGTTTATCATTGATGGACATTTGGGTTGGTTCCAAGTCTTTGCAATTGTGAATAGCACCACAAGAAACATATGTGTGCATGTGTCTTCATAGTAACATGATTTATAATCCTTAGGGTATATACCCAGTAATGGGATCACTGGGTCAAATGGTATTTCTACTTCTAGATCCTTGAGGAATCACCACATTGCCTTCCACAATGGTTGAACTAATTTACACTCCTGCAAACAGGGTAAAAGTGTTCCTATTTCTGCACATCTTCTCTAGTATCTGTTGTTTCCTGGCTTTTTAATGATCGCCATTCTAACTGGTGTGAGATGGTATCTCATTGTGGTTGGTTTTGATTTGCATTTCTCTGATGACCAGTGATGATGAGCATTTATTCATGTGTCTATTGGCCACATAAATGTCTTACTTTGAGAAGTGTCTGTTCATATCCTTGGCCCACTTTTTGATGGAGTTTTTTTTCTGGTAAATTTGTTCAAGTTCTTTGTAGTTTCTGGATATTAGCCCTTTGTCAGATGGGTAGATTGCAAAAATTTTCTCCCATTCTGTAGGTTGTCTGTTCACTCTGATGGTAGTTTCTTTTGATGTACAGAAGCTCTTTAGTTTAATTAGATCCCATTTGTCAACTTTGGCTTTTGTTGCCATTGCTTTTGGTGTTTTAGTCATAAAGTCCTTGCCCATGCTTATGTCCTGAATGGTATTGCCTAGGTTGTCCTCTAGGGTTTTTATGGTTTTAGGTCTAACATTTAAGTCTTTAATCCATCTTGAATTAATTTTTGTATAAGGTGTAAGGAAGGGATCCAGTTTCAGCTTTCTACATATGGCTAGCCAGTTTTCCCAGGGCCATTTATTAAATAGGGAATCCTTTCTCCATTTCTTGTCATGTTTGTCAAAGATCAGATGGTTGTAGATGTGTGTTGTTATTTCTGAGCCTCTGTTCTGTTCCATTGGTCTATATCTCTGTTTTGGTACCAGTACCATGCTGTTTTGGTTACTGTAGCCTTGTAGTGTAGTTTGCAGTCAGGTACTGTGATGCCTCCAGCTTTATTCTTTTTGCTTAGGATTCTAATTTGATTGCATTGTGGTCTGAGACAATTTGTTGTGATTTCTGTTCTTTTACATTTGCTGAGGAGTCCTTTACTTCCAACTATGTGGTCAATTTTAGAATAAGTGTGATGTGGTGCTGAAAACAATGTATATTCTGTTGATTTGGGGTGGAGAGTTCTGTAGATGTCTATTAGGTCCGCTTGGTGCAGAGCTGAGTTCTAGTCCTGGATATCCTTGTTAACCTTCTGTCTCATTGATTTGTCAAATATTGAGAGTGGGGTATTAAAGTCTCCCACTATTATTGTGTGGGAGTCTAAGTCTCCTTGTAGCTCTCTCAGGACTTGCTTTATGAATCTGGGTGCTCCTGTATTGGGTGCATATATATTTAGGATAGTTAGCTCTTCTTGTTGAATTGATCCCTTTACCATTATGTAATGACTTTCTTTGTCTCTTTTGATCTTTCTTTGTTGTTTTAAAGTCTGTTTTACAGAGACTAGGATTGCAACCCCTGCTTTTTTTTGCTTTGCATTTGCTTGGTAGTTCTTGCAACATCCCTTTATTTTGAGCCTATGTGTATCTCTGCACTTGAGATGGGTCTTCTGTATACAGCACACTGATGGGTCTTGACTCTTTATCCTATTTGCCAGTCTGTGTCTTTTAATTGGGGCATTTGGCCCATTTACATTTAAGTTTAATATTGTTATGTGTGAATTTGATCCTGTCATTATGATGTTAGCTGGTTATTTTGCCTGTTAATTGATGCAGTTTCTTCATAGCATCAATGGTCTTTACAATTTGGCATGTTTTTGCAGTGGCTGGTACCAGTTATTCCTTTCCATGTTTAGTGCTTCCTTCAGGAGCTCTTGTAAGGCAGGCCTGGTGGTGACAAAATCTCTCAGCATTTGCTTGTCTGTAAATGATTTTATTTCTCCTTCACTTATGAAACTTAGTTTGGCTGGATATGAAATTCTGGGTTGAAAATTCTTTTCTTTAAAAATGAATATTGGCCCCCACTTTCTTCTGGCTTGTAAAGTTTCTGCCAAGAGATGAGCTGTTAGTCTGATGGGCTTTCCTTTGTGGGTAACCCGACCTTTCTCTCTGGCTGTCCTTAACACTTTTTCCTTCATTTCAACCTTGGTGAATCTGAAAATTATGTGTCTTGGAGTTCCTCTTCTCGAGGAGTATCTTTGTGGTGTTCTCTTTATTTCCTGAATCTGAATGTTGGCCTGCCTTGCTAGGTTGGGGAAGTTCTCCTGGATAATATCCTGCAGAGTGTTTTCCAACTTGGTTCCATTCTCCCCGTCACTTTCAGGTACACCAATCAAACGTAAATTTGGTCTTTTCACATAGTCCCATATTTCTTGGAGGTTTTGTTCATTTCTTTTTACTCTTTTTTCTCTAAACTTCTCACTTAATTTCATTCATTTGATCTTCCATCACTGATACCCTTTCTTCCACTTGATTGCATTGGCTATTGTAGCTTGTGCATGCTTCAGGAAGTTCTCGTGCCATGGTTTTCAGCTCCATCAAGTCATTTAAGGTCTTCCCTACATTATTTATTCTAGTTAGCCATTCCTCTAATCTTTTTAGCTTCCTTGAGATGGGTTTGAACATCCTCCTTTAGCTTGGAGGAGTTTGTTATTACCGACCTTCTGAAGCCTACTTCTGTTGACTTGTCAAAGTTATTCTCTGTCCAATTTTGTTCCATTGCTGGCGAGGAGCTATGATCCTTTGGAGGAGAAGAGGCGCCCTGATTTTTAGAATTTTCAGCTTTTCTGCTCTGGTTTCTCCCCATCTTTGTGGTTTTATCTACCTTTGCTCTTTGATGTTGGTAACTTACAAATAGGGTTTTGGTATGATTGTCCTTTTCATTGATGTTGATGCTATTTCTTTCTGTTTGTTAGTTTTCCTTCTAGCAGTCAGGTCTCTCAGCTGCAGGTCAGCTGGAGTTTCCTGGAGGTCCACTCCAGACCCTGTTTGCCTGGGTATCACCAGCAGAGGCTGCAGAACAGCAAATATTGCACAACAGCAAATATTGCTGCCTGATCCCTCCTCTGGGAGCTTTGTCCCAGAAGGGCACTCGCCTGTATGAGGTGTAAGTCATCCCCTTCTGGGAGGTGTCTCCCAGTTAGACTACACAGGGTTCAGGGACCCACTTGAGGAGGCAGTCTGTCCATTCTCAGAGCTCAAACTCTGTGCTGGGAGAACCACTGTTCTCTTCAGAGCTGTCAGACAGGGATGTTTAAGTCTGCAGAGGTTTCTGCTACATTTTGTTCAGCTATGCCCTGCCCCCAGTGGTGTGGTGTACAGAGGCAGCAGGCCTAGCTGAGCTGCAGTGTGCTCCACCCAGTTCGAGCTTCCAGGCCGCTTTGTTTACCTACTCAAGCCTCAGCAATGGCGGACGCCCCTCCCCCCGCCAGGCTGTTGCCTTGCAGGTCAATCTCTGACTGCTGTGCTAGCACTGAGCAAGGCTCTGTGGGCGTGGGACCCGCCGAGCCAGGTGTGGCATAGTATCTCCTGGTCTGCTGTTTGCTAAGACCATTGGAAAAGTGCAGTATTTGGGCAGGAGTTTCCCATTTTTCCCTGGTACAGTCTGTCATGCCTTCCCTTGGCTAGGAAAGGGAAATCCCCTGACCCCTTGTGCTTCCCAGGTGAGGCGATGCCCTGCCCTGCTTTGGCTCACTCTCTGTGGGCTGCACCCACTGTCCAACCAGTCCCAGTGAGATGAACCAGGTACCTCAGCTGGAAATGCAGAAATCACCCATCTCCTGTGTTGATCACACTGGGAGCTGCCAACCAAAGATATTCCTATTTGGCCATCTTTCTATACCCTGTAGAAGCTTTTTAGCTTGATGTGATCCTATTTGTCAAATTTTTTATTTGGTTGCCTGTGTTTGGGGGGTATTACTCAAAAGCCTGTGCTCAGACCAATGTCCTGAAGAATTTTCCTAATGTTTTCTTGTAGCAGTTTCATAGTTTGAGGTCCTAAATTTAAGTTGTTAATACATTTTTATTTGATTGTTGTATATGGCAAGAGATGGGGTCTAGTTTTATTCCTTGGCATATGAATATACAGTTTTCCCAGCACAATTTATTGAAGAAACTGTCTTTTCCCTGGTGTAAGTGCTTGGCAACTTTGTTAAAAATGAATTCACTGTAGGTGTGTGAATTTATTTCTGGGTTCTCCATTCTGTTCCATTGGTCTATATGTCTGTTTATATGCTACTACAATGCTGTTTTGGTTACTATAGCTCTGTAGTATAATTTGAAGTCAGTTAATGTAATTCCTCCAGCTTTGTTCTTTTGCTTAGGATAGTTTTGGTTATTCTGGGTCTTTTGTGGTTCCATATAAAATTTAGAATTGTTTTTTCTACTTCTGTGAAGAATGTCATTGGTATTTTGATTGATAGGAATAGCATTAAACCTGTAGATTACTTTGGGTAGTACAGACATTTTAATATTTATTCTTCCACTTCATTAGCATAGAATGTTTTTCCACTTTTTGGTTTCCTCTTCAGTTTCCTTCATCAGTGTTTTATCATTCTCATTAGAGATCTTTTACTTCTTTGGTTAAATTAATTCCTATGTGTTTGTTTAATTTTGTGTGACTATAGTAAATGAAATTGCTTTTTTTTTTTTTTTTTTTTTTGAGATGGAGTCTCACTCTGTCACCCAGGCTGGAGTGCAGTGGTGTGATCTCAGCTCACTGCAACCTCTGCCTCCTGGATTCAAGCAATTCTCCTGCCTCAGCCTCCCCAGTAGCTGGTACTACAGGTGTATGCAGCCACACCCAGCTAATTTTTGTATTTTTAGTAGAGATGGGGTTTTACCATGTTGGCCAGGATGGTCTTGATAGCGTGACCTCATAATCCACCCACTTTGGCCTCCCAAAGTACTAGGATTACAGGCGTGAGACCACACCTGGCGGGAATTATTTTTTAAATTTCTTTTTTTTATTATTCACTGTTGGTATATAGAAATGCTACTGATTTTTATATGTTGATTTTGTTTACTGAAATTTTACTAAATTTGTTTATCAGTTCTAATAGTTTTCTTGTGGAATCTAGGTTTTTTCAATATAAGATCATATCATCTGCTAACAGGAATAATTTGACTTCTTTATTTCCAATTTGGACACCCTTTATATCTTTCTCATCTGATTCCCTCTATCTATAATAGTACTATGCTTAATAACAGTGGTACAATGGGTGTGCTTGTCATGTTCCAGATCTTAGAGGAAAGGCTTTCAGTTTTTCCCCATCCAGTATGATACTAGCTGTGGGTCTGTCATGTAGGGGTTTCATTATATTAAGGTATGTTCCTTCTATTCCCAGTTTTTTGAGGGTTTTTGTCATAAAACGATGTTGCATTGTATCAAATGCTTCTTCAGCATCAATTGAAATGATCATATGTTTTTTATTCTTTATTCTGTTGTATCACATTGTTTAATTTGTGTATGCTGAACCATCTTTGCCTCTCAAGGATAGATCCCACTTGAGCATGATGAATAATCTTTCTAATGTATTGTTCAATTCTATTTGCTAGTGTTTTCTTGAGGATTTTTTGCATCAGCATTCATCAGAGATATTGGGCTGTAGTTTTGTTTTCTTAAAGTGTCTTTTTCTGGTTTTGGTATGTGGGCAATACTGGCCTTGTAGAATGAGTTTGGCAGTATTGCCTCGTCGTCTATTTTTTGGATATTTTGAGTAAGATTGGTATTAGTTCTTTAAATGTTTGGTATAATTCAGCATTGAAACCACTTGTTCTGGGCTTTTCTTTACTGGGAGACATTTTAGTACGCCTTCAATATCTATACTTGTTATTTGTCTGTTCAGGTTTTGGATTTCTTTCCGGTTCAATCTTGGTAGGTTGTCTGTACCTAGGAATTTCTTCATTTCTTCTAGATTTTCCAATTTACTGGGATATAGTTACTCATAATAGTCACTAATGATTTTTTAAAATTTCTTCAGTATCATTTGTGATGTCTCTTTTTACACTTCTGATTTTATTTATTTGTATCTTTTCCCTTTTTTACTTAGTTGAGATAAAGTTTTGTCAATTTTAATTACATTTTTTAAAAACCAACTTTTGTTACATTGATCTTTTGTATTTATTTCATTTCAATTTCATTTATCACTACTCTGATCTTTATTATTTCTTTTTTTCTACTAATTTTGGGTTTGGTTTGCTCTTGCTTTTCCAGTTCTTTAACATGCATTGTTACATTGTTTATTTTAAGTTTTACTCTTTATGACATTGTTATACTGTTATCTTTTTACTCTTTTCTGATCTTTTATAGCTATAAACTTCCCTTTTAGTACTCCTTTTGCTGTATCTCATAGGTTTGGGTATGTTGTGTTTCCATTATCATTTGTTTCTAGAAATTTTTTAATTTCTTCATTGGTCCATCTGTCATTCAGAAGCATATTGTTTAATTTCCATGTATAGTTTTGTATAGTTTCCAAAATTCCTCTGTTATTAATTTCTATTTGTATTCCATTGTTGTCAGAGAAAATGCTTGATATTATTTCAAGTTTTTGAATGTTTTAAGACTTATTTTGTGATTTACATATAATCTATCCTTGAGAATGATCAATGTGCTGAGGAAAAGAACGTGTATTCTGCAGCTATTGAATGAAATATTCTGTAAATATCTATCAGATCGATTTGGTCTATAGTGCAACTTAAGTCTGATGTTTCTTTGTTGATTTTCTATATGGAGATCTGTCCAATGCTGAAAGTGAAGTGTTGAAGTATCCAGCTATTATTGTATTGGGGCCTGTCTCTTATTTTAGCTCTAATATTTCCTTTATATATCTGGGTGGTCCAATGTTCGGTGAATGTATATTTAGCTAATTTTTTGTATTTTTAGTAGAGACGGGGTTTCACCATGTTAGCCAGGATGGTCTTGATCTCCTGACCTCGTGATCCACCCGCCTCGGCCTCCCAAAGTGCTGGGATTACAGGTGTGAGCCCCCGCAACTGGCCTGTACTTATTATTTTTGATTGGTTCATAGTTAATCTTTCTATTTAGGATAAGAGTAGTTTACAAATACATTTACAGTGTTATAATATTCTGTGATTTTCTGTGTACTTACTATTATCACTGAATTTTCTACCTTCTGTTGATTATTTATTGCTCATTAATGTTCTTTTCTTTCTGTTTGTAGGATAGGTCTGATATTGAGAAATCCCTCAGATTTTGTTTATCTTGGAAAATCTTTATTTTCATGTTTGAAGGATATCCTTTTTTTTTTTAATCTTCAGCACTTTAAATATGTCATGCCTATTTCTCCTAGCCTGTAAGGTTTCCACTGAAAAGTCTACTGCCAGACATATTTGAGGTCCATAGTATTCAAGGTGACTATTGATAGGTAAACTTTATGATCACCAGTTTGTTAATTATTTTCTAGTTGTTTTGTAGTTTGTTTCTTCCTATTTTACTTTCTAAGTGACTTCCCTTAACAGTAAGTTTTGATTCTTTGCTTTTTTATCTTTAATGTAATGTATCTACTATAGATTTTAGCTTTGTGATTACCATGAGGCTTACAAAAAACATTACACATAAGAGATTATTTTAAGCTGATACAACTTAACTTTAATTGCAATATTTTAGAAAAGTCTCTACATATTAACCCCAGTTCTCATCTGTACATTCTGAGTGAGTTTTTGATGTCAAAATATACATTTTTATATTGCATATCCCTTAGGAATTTATGTAAATATTATTATTTTAATAATTTTGCCTTTTAACCTTTATATTAAAGATATATGTGATTTACACACTACTATAACACTGTTAGGATATTCTGAATTTGACTGTGTGCTTACTGCTACCAGTGAGTTGTTGTTTTGTTTTTAACTTTCAGATGTTTTTGTGTTACTAATGTCCTTTTCTTTAAGCTTGAGAAACTCCCTTTAGCATTTCTTGGAAGATAGGTCTGGTGCTAATAAATTCCCTTAGCTTTTGTTTTTCTTGAAAAATCTTTATCACTCTTTTTTTTCTGATGAACAGATCTGATTTTTATACTATTTCTTCTGCAAATCCTATTTGATAAATATTCTGTCTCTTGATGGTGTCTCATAATTCATTAGACTTCCTTTATTATCTTTTTGCTCTTCTGACTGGATAATTTCAAATGTTTTTTTTTTTAACTCATTGATTCTTTTTCTTCTGTGTGAGTCTGCTGTTGAAGCTTTCTATTAAGTTTTTCATTTCAGCCTTTGTATTATTTGTCTCTATGATTTCTCTCTGGTTCTTTTGTCTGTTTTTTTGTTCATCTGATGTTTGTGTTTATTGTTTTTCAAATCTCATTACATTTTCTATAGGTTTTTTTTTTACTTTACCTAACTTTTTAATGAATATTATTCTGAATTCTTTGTCAGCCATTTCATAGATCTTCATGTTGGAGGGTCTGTTATTGTAGATTTATTAGTTTTCTTTGGGGGCGTCATGACTTCCTGATTCTTTACAATCCTATGTCCTTATGTTGTTGTCTATGCACTTGAGGAGACAACGCCTTCTTCTGCCCTTAACAGATATTCTTTGGCAGGTGTAGAGCTTCATTATTTATCTAGCCTATGATTATGTAAGGCCAGCTAATGATGACATTATGGAGGCAGAGCTTATTGTGAGTTATCTAGTGAGCTGGGGTGCTGCCGTTGCTTTCATGTTGTCAGGGGCTACTAGCTGAGGTCTGTTGACTGGTGAGACCACTGGCTGGCTCTGCTTTCAGGTGGAGCTGCTGGCTCAGTACTGCATAGGCTTCTGGTCGGCCAGTCACAGGATTTATTCCCTGGCTGGATAATCTCACTCTTTGTTATCTGCAGTTTGGCAAGGGCTGCAGGTTGGGCTCTGAGGTTAGGCAGGGAAATGACCTGAGGCTATGCTCCTTTAGAAGTATGAAATTAGAGATTGCTTCCCTGTCTGGGTTGAGCTGTGGGGTTGGCCTTTGGCTGAGTCAGGTGGCTGCTTGATTTCCTGGTTGAAGCAGTACTAGCAGCTCTGTTTCTCCAAAATGCACAGAGGTGGCAGTCTTCCTTCCTAATTCCTAAGCAGGATCATTAGTCAGTATAGCCCCTTTACTTATCTGAGATCCACAGGGTAGAAGTCTCTCTTCCTGGATGAGATCACTGGGAAGGGGGTGGGGCAGGCGCGGTTCTGAGGCTGGGTTGGGAGGAAAGCAGTCTAGGAGCTTAAGCTAGATTGTGCTTCCTATCCTACTTCTAAAGGCTACCGTCTCAGCTTTGCAGGTGTATTATGAGATTGGCTGGCAGCTATTTCTGATCAAGTTCTGCAGCTGGCAGGAAAGCAGAGGTGCCACGAAGATCTGTGTGCTAGTCCTCTTTGTTTCTACCTGACTCACCAGGCAGTCAAGCCATGTTGATTTTACCACTGTTCCCTGGGAAGTCAGTCCTGACTGGGCTATCTGAGAATGCTAGGGAAGCTGGATTCAGTTTTTGTTTTTCTTTCTCTCTAAAAAAATAAAACTGAGTTAAGGAAAACTCTCTCTGTCTGGCACCATGCCTGCTTGTTTGGAGTGAGACCATTCCTCCTACCCTTTGAAATTCAGATTGTGTTTCATTCTGCTTGCCATATGAGTATCTCAGGATTATTTCCAGATGTTGGAGTTTTTAAAAGGATGTTCTATTCTATGGATAGTTACTAGTTGTTGGTGAGTTGGGCCCAAGACTTCTTACTCTAGAATCTTGCTGATGGCACTCCCATAGAAGAAGTCATTTTATTTACACAAGCACATTACATGAAACCATTGGTGGGTGAGTATTCATACTTCACATAGGATTCACGCTGTGTGTAGGCAATGGGTACCTTAATCTTGTGACTGTTACCTTTCTCTAAATCCATACTGTAGCTGACTTTTCTGATGTGATATTCAATTTTAAATTTTAATGAAGTCAACTGATATTATTAAGCTGAGGATAAATTAGCTCTTCTTTCTATTTTAACACTATATTGAATTTGTCTAAGAAAAAATTATTAAGTAGACAGAGTTGGAGTTTACTGCCATTTAAAGTATCTTTTTTTAAAAGGCACTGCTGCTTACACCTTTTTTCCACCCTTTTGGAAGGTACTCTTTAATCTCATGCTTATGAGATTTTAGTCTTAGAACTATTTTCTTTACAATGAGAAGATAGTTCAAATTTAGGTAAATGTTAGACCAAAACTCAAACAAAACATAATAAATTACATAATAAATTATACAGAATAAGAAGAAAGAAAGAAGAGTAAATGAGTTTCCAAAATACTCTGTAAGAGTGAGAAGTGCATTTTTTATTGTCTTCCTCGACATTCCTCTTAATTTTGTCAATTAATGTTTACATCTCTTAAGAATCAATACTCACAACTGCTTATGGTGAAAAATGCCATCAAGTTTACCTTTACACCTATTAATTTCCATTTTTTACCATCTTTTGTTTGTAAGTAAGTCCTATAGAAACTAAAAACTTATTAATTTTGTCTTAATGAACATAAGCATTCTGCTAAAAGTGTTTTTCTTTACTGAATTCAAGGTCCATTTTTCCTACTTGGTGGAACTGTCATTGTGCCTACACATCACCATAGTGTATATTTGAAAAAGTATGGGTTTGAACAAAGCATTGATCTACTATCCACAATTTCTTTCTTTCTTTAGATTTTATTTATTTGTTTCTTTGCTTGCTTATTTACTGAAAGTACTAAAATTTGACTAGTATCTATCTTTCAAGAGCAATGAAATACCAGGAATAATGGTTATAAAACTTTGTGTATTTTTGTTTAATATTTCTTCTTCTTTCTATCTTTTCAGATGAGATCAAAATGTGATCTGAATGTACCAAGGTAACTTTATTATCATTTTGAAATGTGCCCTGTGGTCATATTTGTTTAATGTATTTCATTTGCCAAATTTCAGGATATCATTCTTGGTAATGCCTTATGTAAGACTTTTTAATATCTCACAAATGGTTCCCTAAAATTATGTGAAATATTTTGTCTGTTAGTGTCATATGCTGTTTTCTGTTGCCATAACTAAACCCCTAGGACTGGGTAATATTTAAAGTGAAGAAACTTACTTCTTACAGTTCTGAAGGCTGGAAAACACAAGGTACAGGGGTTATGCTTGGTGAAGGACCTTTTGCTAGTAAGGCATCTCTTCAGAATCTCAAGGCAGTATAGGGCATCACATGGTTAGGGGGCTTAGTGTGATAGTTCAGGGTCTTATTCTCCTCTTACAAAGCTACTAATGTCCCACCCTCACAAACTTATTTAATTCCAATTACCTCCCAAAGTTCCCACCTTTAAACACTGTAGTCAGATTTACCACCCTCTTGATACTATTAAAATGGGGATTAAGTTTTAACATGAATTTCAAAAGGGACAAACAGTTAAACTGTATAGCATTTAGCAATATTCTTAAAAGTAGTGAGAGGATAGTCTTTTTGGTAGAAAAATTTGAAGAATATTTAGAAAGCCACAATTTTATAAAACAACTACACTGTACCTCAAGGTGTAACAGCCCCTAAAGTAATATTAAATATTAATTTATTTAGATATGCTTTGTCTGGCTCATCTTCTACAATACCAACATATGAATCTGCAACACATTATGTCAGTGACAATTAAGGCTATGAATGATTGCCCATGTTAAGGTTCAAGGTATTTGAGCTTAAGTTATAGCTTTCTTAATCATTCTATGTTCTTATTTGATACATCACCTCTTTGGGTTTCAATACATCATCTTTAAAATGAGAGGATTAAAACATATAATTTCCATGGTTTTATTATTTTTAAGTTTAATGCTTATAAAGGTGTTGCTACGAGTGTCTGACAGAAATAACTCAGACAAATTGAGGGCTCTGTGAGCTCTTATAAACAACCAACTGCAAAAATGAAGACAGAGTAAATAAGTAGAGTAACAGAAAAAGTAAGCCTACTTACTTACCCACTGCAACCTCAAGCTAGCTCAGTGTAGATCTTTCAGGTAAACACAATGGTAGATGCAGTCTCGGTATTCTTTACTTCTCTTTTTGTTGGGAGATTTTGTACTTATTTGACCATAGTTTTTATATCTTTGCAAACCTTACTTGCACAAAGGTAGAAACAGCTGCACTTATTTGAGATAACATTATTTTACTCCTTATTCAAAAGAAAGTCCACGGTCCATAATTTCAATTTTATACTTGTCAGTAGCATAGTTTATCACATCTGCTTCTCTTTTTATTTTTCATATCTAGCAAAACTCTCAAACTAGATAAATCTATCTATTGCATTTCCCATCTATTACATTCAGAACTAAGATAACTGTGCCCTATTGGAAAAGGTCACACAAAAGTGCAGATTGGTTCCACTTTAAATTTATGATTACCAAGCACAAATGCAATCTCAACATGACCCAAAAATTGATCTGTGTTTCTCTGATCTGTTTGCTCTGTCACATTCCACAAGTATTTCAGAATTTTACAACTCCTTTAACAATCTTAACTTCTCCAATTTCCTAGTTTATTTCAGCAGGTTATCTTTTCCTATCTAAGGTCCATGTCTGTTGCTTGGATTCCATTCTCTACCTCTTCATGACCTTTACAGCATTGATTATTCATGCTTCTTTACATATTTAACCTCTCTCATTGTTTATCCTTTCTCATAAAGGATCCCTTCGCCCCACTTTCTGCTCAATCACTACTATACTTCTCTCTCCATTTCTAGCTAAACTCTGTGAAACATTATCTGCACTGTCTTTGTTATCTCGTCTCCATCTTGGGGAGAAGACCAAGCTCTCTGGACTCACTTAATCTATACAAAGAGTCCTCTCTAAATTCAGTTAAACATTTTTCAATCCTTAGCTTTTTGAGTTCTCAGTAGCATTCAAGATTGTTGTTAACTATTTTAGAAAGACTCATAGTTTGCAACCAATCAATCAATGACCGATACCGGATTTTTTCCTCTCTCCTATTTTTTTTGGTTAAAATTCCTCAAAGCTCAGGCCTAGGCTCTCTCTTCTCACACTGTGAGCAATGTCATACATTGTTGGCTTTAAATATCATTCATTTTATAGTATATGGTAAACAAAACCTCTCCTCTATTCCACTTATTTTTTCATCTCTACTTAGATATTTCAAAGATATGTTGATGTCATTATCCTCAAACTTAACCAATAGGCTTACATATCAAATGTGATATTATTCCAATGTCAGCATCTCTTGTATGGTTGAGTTATATATTCAGATACACAAACCAGAAAGCCATGAGCTATTCAACCACTTTCTCACTCAAGTTATGTAATACAGTGTTAAGACTTTACCAAGTCCCTCTTGAATGTACTAAATTTTGTTCATCCAACTTTCCCCATTGCAGGCCATACCACCATCATCTCTCATCTAGAATACTCAATAGCTTTGCATGAATCACCTTCCAACCCACTTTTCTTATTGCAGCCAGTAAACATTCAAAAACACAGATATTATCATCTGTTTACTCCAATGGCTCTCTATTGTATTCAGAATAAAGCCTTTTTTTAGAAAAAATATAAGACTCTTTAGTTTCTGATTCTCTGCATTTACTTCAAATGGTGCTGCCACCTGCTTTCTGCTTCCCAGCACCACTGGGTTTCCTTCAGTTTCTCCCAAATGTATCACTCTTTTTCTAATGCACTAATATGCTGATACACCTAGTCAGCCTTTTCATGTGCTTTTGCCTCTGTGTGGAGCACTATTTACCCTCCTCTAAAATACACTCACAGTTTTACTTGGTAGCACATCATTCCTCAAGGCTCTGCTTAACTGTGACTTCTGCCATGTTCTCACTTCCCAGACTAGTTAAATCATTCGCCATGTGCTTTGAGACTGTCTACTTTAATTCACTATCATAGTGTCTGAGCTAATCGTGACATAATCTTATTGAGTAAAGGCCTATGATTAAAAATAAGTTAGACAAAAACCATATGATCATCTCAATAGACACAGAAAAAGCATTTGACAAAATCCAGCATCCTTTTATGATTAAAAAAAAAAAGAACCCTCAGCAAGATTGGCATAGAAGGGATATGCCTCAAGGAAATAAAAGCCATCTGACAGGGTTTGGCTCTGTGTCCCCACCCAAATCTCATCTCAAACTATAATCCCCATGTATTGAGGGAGGAACCTGGTGGGAGGTGATTGGATCATGGAAGCAGTTTCCCCCATACTGTTCTCATGATTGTGAATGAGGTCTTATGAGATCTGATGGTTTTATAAGTGGCAGTTTTCCCTGCTTTCTTGCTCTCTCTCTCTCACTCTTTCTCAATCTCTGAATCATGCCTGCCACCATGTAAGAAAGATATACCTTGTTTCCCCTTAGCCTTCTGCCATGATTGTAAGTTTCCTGAGGCTTCCTCATTTATGTGGAACTGTGAGCCAATTAAACATCTTTCCTCTATAAATTACCCAGTCTAGGGTATTTTTTTATAGCAGTGAGGAAACGAAACTAATACAAGAAAGTTGTGCTGTAGAGAGTGGGGCACTGCTATAAAGACAATCTAAAAATGTGGATGCAACTTCGGAACTAGGTAACAGGTAGAGGTTGGAACAGTTTGGAGGGCTCAGAAGAAGACAGGAAGATGTAAGAAAGTTTGGAAATTCCTATAGACTTTTTGAATGGTTTTGACCAAAATACTGATAATAATTAATATGAACAATGAAGTCCAGGCTGAGGTAGACTCAGATGGAGATGAATAACTTATTGGGAAATGGAGCAAAGGTCACTCTTGCTATGCTTTAGCAAAGAGACTGGTGGGGGAAATGGAGCAAACGTCACTCTTGCTACGCTTTAGCAAAGAGACTGGTGGCATTGGCCTAAGCCCTCAAGATCTGTGGAACTTTGTACTTGAGGGAGATGATATGAAATTGGAATTTATGTTTTAAAAGGGAAGCAAAAAAAAGCTTCTGCATAGGAAAAATAATAATAATAGCAGAGTAAACAGACAACCCACAGAGTGAGAGAAAATAGTCACAAACTAAGCATCTGACAAAAGACTAATATCAGAATCTTCAAGCAACTCAAACAAATAAGCAAGAAGAAAACAATAACCCCATATAAAAATGAGCAAAGGACGTGAGTAGACAGTCCTTGAAAGAAGATATACAAATGCCCAACAAGCATATGAATAAATGATCAAAATCACTAATGACTGGGGAAATGCAAATTAAAACCTCAATGAGATACCACCTTCTCCTCTAAGAATGGCTATGATTAAAATATCAAAAAAAAAAAAGATGTTAGTGTGGGTGTGGTGAAAAGGGAACACTTTTTTACTACTGTTGGCAATGTAAACTAGCACAACCACTATGGAAAACAGTATGGAGATTCCTTAAAGAACTAAAAGTAGAACTACTATTCAATCAAGCAATCCAAATACTCAATCAAGCAATCCAAATACTGGGTACCTACCCAAAGGAAAGGAAAATAAGTCATTATATAAAAAGGACACTTCCACATGCGTATTTATAGCAGCACAATTCACAATTGCAAAAATATGGAACTAGCGTAAATGCCCATTGACAAACGGGCGGATAAAGAAAATGTGATATATATATATGATATATATCATATATATGTGTGTCTATATATATGTGTGTGTGTGTGTGTGGGTGTGTATATATATCCACCATGGAATACTACTCAGCCATAAAAAGGATTGAAATAATGGCATTTGAAGCAACCTGGATGGAGTTGGAGACCAGTATTCTAAGTAACTCAGGAATGGAAAATCAAACATTGCATATTCTCATTTATAAGTGGGAGCTATAAGGATGGAAAGGCATAAGAATGACATAATGGACTTTGGGGAACCAGGAGGAAGGGTAGGAGTGGGGTTAGGGATAAAAGGCTACACATTGGTTACAGTGAACACTGCTCAGGTGATGGGTGCACCAAATTCAGGAATCACCATAAAGAACGTATTCATGTAACCAAAAACTTCCTGTTCCCCAAAAACTATTGAAATAAAATAAGTTTGAGAGGTGCTACAATATTTTTTCATGTAAATTACCAGGTAAATTTAACAACCCCTGAATGAGAGGGCAATCTGTATACCCAGTAAGTCTAGAAACTTCTGAACCAATATCTGCGGTGCTAACTGATTTATTATTTTCTTTTACAGTAATACAAAAGCTGATATGAACCTGAATTCTTCCCAAAGGAAGAAAACTGCAAATGCCAGAGCCCCAATTTAGGTCTATATTTTTTTCTAATTTGTCCACCAACATTTCTCCAAAAATGAAGATGTTCTCATTTTCTCCACATCCTTCTCATTATCTACTTGCAGCTCTCCAATGATTATTATTATACTAACCTGTTCATGGAAATGCTTTCATCTATTTTTTTCTAATGGAAGCATACTCACATTTTTCCATTTATTTTTTTCCACTTTCATCCAAGACATAAGTTATCCACCCTCTCCCACATTCCATTTTCAATATTTGACCTTAAATATCTCCACTTGTCAAGATGACTGACAGCTAACACTAAGACATCAGGTGCAATACTGAAATTTTTTTCTTAAGAAAAAGATCTGGAAAAATCTTACTATACCTTTGAATATTTCTGTGTCTTTGAATATTCTTTGCCTTAACTCCCTGCAGGACTAGAAACTCCTAACTCTCCAAATTTCCATATAAAATGTGCATTCTCAAGATTGTGAACATTAAGCAGAATATATACTTTATAATTTGACCTCTGTTATTTAGGGAAGTGTTCACATTTTTAAATATGTAAAATCAAGTGGAAATGTGAATGCAAGTCTATACCAACACTAATAAAATATTTCTTATTCTCAATACAAAATTTCTCAACTTTTTTTCTGGAAACTGTTCTTTGGAAACCTTACCCTAAGCCCTCAATCCTTTTTTTTTTTTTTTGAAAAAAAATTTAATACAAGACCAAAAAAATTTAATACAAGACCCTGGCTTCACTTAAAGTTACTTAATGCCAGGAAAATAATGGAATGCCTTTGTTGTTCCAAACTTTCTACATAAGGAAAGTATAAAATGCATCTTGTGTTTCCTACCTAATTGAAAGGTGCTTTTGAAATTAACTCTTGACAATTAAAACTTTTAAACTTTAATATTCAGAATTAAAAAATAAGAATATAGTGACATGTAAACTCATTGTTCATAGAATGGTAAATTAATTGTAACTGACCCAAACCAATAACATATATCTAACAAACTGAACAATATTAGCAGCTGAGTTAAATCAAATGTAAAATGTTTTTCTTTAAAAGGGGCAAATTCTCAAAAATATGAGAAAAATAGGATTATTTTTAAGTTTTTCCCTCTTTCTTCATTGCATGCATTTCAATGTCTTGGGCACTTTATTTCACACTTCTAAGTGAAATTTTAAAATTTGTAACATATTCAGAAAAGTACACTAGTTAGTTACAGGGATACCAGTTAATGTATTTTTTTAAGGAGTATACATTTATCATCAGTACCCAGATCAAAAATATGCTTCAAAATATCTGATTTCATTCACTGAAATAAATAGTTTAATATTGACTGCCTTAGTCTTTCTTTGTGCAAACTCCTTTACTTTTTTGCTAGGCCATCTGTTTTTCTTATTTTTGCCTATATTATCCCCAGTCTAGAATTTTCTAACTTACTCCTTCATTTGACTTACTAATTAAAACACACACTCACATACAAACACACACAGTGATATAGTAAATACGTAAAAGAATGGGGGCAAAGGCTAAAAGATAAATGGCTGCAGCGATAAGCATTAGAAATATACCAGTGTGCAGGTTGGGCGCGGTGGCTCACGCCTATAATCCCAGCACTTTGGGAGGCTGAGGCGGGTGGATCACCTGAGGTCAGGAGTTCGAGACCAGCCTGACCAAGATGGTGAAATCCTGTCTTTACTAAAAACATAAAAATTAGCTGGGTGTGGTGGCGCGTGCCTGCAGTCCCAGCTACTGACACAGGAGAATTGCTTGAACCCGGGTGGCAGAGGTTGCAGTGAGCCGAGATCACGCCACTGCACTCCAGCCTGGGCAACTCCATCTCAAAAAAAAAAAAAAAAAAAAAAAGAAAAGAAAGAAAGAAAAAGAAAAAGAAATATACCAGTATGCTAGAGATCTGTATAAATGTGTAGTTAAAGCCGTAAATTATTCTCCTTTTCACTTAATTGATAATTTTTTCCCCGTTAGCTGTTTTAACAATTTATTTTGCACTATGTTTAGTAGCATTATTTTAAAAATCATTTTGTGGTTTTAGACATAAAAATGCTATTAATGGTATTTAGACATAAAAATCTGAGTATTTATTTGTACTTAGTACACAGTACATTAAAGCCATAAAGAAATATATTCTCTCTTAGACACTGGATATTAGGGGATATCTCAATGACCTAGGTGACATGTACAGATGTTTCTCATTCACTGACGATCTCTGACAAACAGCTCTTTAATTCAATATACACTAATTTAAAATAGCCTTTTTCACTACAGTTTTTAAGTCATTGCCAACTGGGTAAATTCACTCATATCAGTTGTGGTTAGTTAATTCTAAAAAGTGGCAGAAACAGCAGCATATTAGCCTATACAGAAAAGAAAAATCTTGCAGCCAACAGTGAAAACTTTAGAAATGTGAACAAAATTATTTTTTCTTACCCTACTTATATTAAAATATATTAAAGAATATATATTATGACACAGTTAGATGGCAGCCAACTGTAAGCCAAGGAGAGAGACCTCACCAGACACCAATCCTATGGACACCTTGATCTTAGACTTCTAGCCTCCAGAAGTATAAGAAAATAAATTTCTGGTTTTTAAGCCACGCACACACATACACGTGTGTGTGTGTGTGTATAAATATATATTTAAAATAACCTTTTTCACTACACACACACATATATTGTTTGTTCACATTTCTAATTTTATATATAATATATATAAATATATTACGTATACAATATATAATATATATCACCTTTCAAGAAGTTTCATTCATTGTTTTTCTTAACGCTATAGCGTTAAGAGTTTCTTTAGTTTAAAGTTGTTTTGTTTTGTTTCACAGTAAAAACAGAGGCACTAAATTTCCAATGAAAAGTGTTTTTAAGCCAGCAGCATGGGTTGAAAGGAGCGGAAAGGAAAATCTGAAGAGATAGATAGAATACTTCATCTTTCCATTCAACATGTCTTACGAGAATCTGCTAAGACACATAATGTATAACAATTCACTATAGAAAGGAAAATGAAATAATCTCAATAAAAAATTTTCAGATCTATCCTCACACTGTCAAAGAGAAATTTATCTAAATCATTCCACTTGGGAGACTCCACTTCATATTTTACAACTCATTTAACTCCAACAATCTTCATCATCTAAAAGTGTTCCTTTTGTGTCATAAATGACCTAGGATGCAAGCAAAGAAGCATTCATGAGAGAAGATAATGCATCCCTCACTTTCTCATTGGGAAGGTAATAGTGAATTTTGCAAAGTCTTAAGATGAATGCTCAAGAGCTAGAAAGGGGCAGTAAAGAAGATGGGTGAGGAATAAGTTAGGTATTTGGAAAGAGACTGCATAGTCATTCTGCATTTTGGCTAGAATTATCTTTGGTCTGATGGGAGGGGCACAGTTCTCATTTCCTATGGCTGCTGTTACAAATTATGGCAAACTTGGTGACTTCATAAATCACACATTTATTCTCTTAACACTCTAAAGGCCAGAATGTAAAATCGTTACACTGTGCAGATATCAAGATATACACAGTACCATATGCCCCTTGAATCCTTTAGGGAAGAATCTGATCCCTGCTTTTCCCAGCATCTGGTGGCTGCCATCATTCCTTGACTTGTGGCCCCATAATTCCCTCCCCTGTCTAAGTGGTCACATTGCTTCTCCACTTCTGCCTGTATCAAATCTCTCTCTACTTCTGCCTGTATCAAATTCCCTTACAAGAACCTTATGATTTCATTGAGGCCCTACTTGATAATGCAGAATTGCCCCATCTCAAGATTCTTAATCACTTCTGCAAAGACCTTTTCTAAATATGGGGTGAAATGTATAACTTAAGGGCATTAGGAGATAACAGATCTTTTAAGGGGCATTAACTAGCCTACCACAGATGGGGATAAGGCAAGAGGTTGAAAGGTAAAGGTTTCAAGGTCACAGGTGATATATGAACGACCCCTGTGCTAAGGAAATATATGACATTTTTGGAGCATGAAAGTTTTATATTTACAGAGAATTTGAGGCTAAGAAGACAGAATCCTGCATTTACCTTGGGTTTGCTATAGAAATCAAAATTGATCCACTTAAAGTTACCAGCAGATAGGAATAACATTTCATATTTCATACACTTATAATGTTTGGCATATACTTTTTAACCCCAATTCTTCTTTTTAAAAGTTCTTTGAGGAACCAAGAAAAGTAAAAGTCCCATTTTGCAAAGAGAACAAATAAGGCTCTCAGAACTTAAGTAATGTGCTAAAAACCAGTCAGCCAGTAATACTTGGCCAAGTCCACTGATTCAATGCCTCCCCCTCTGGCACATATAATTTTAATATATCTTAGATTTTTCTACCTTCTCACACATTGTAGGATCTCTGAGAAATGAAGTATCACAGATGACATGCCTAAAATCCACCCCGTGATTTCAAAACACAAAGAGAATGCTGCTGATCATCTGTGAGTTCCAGAGTTAGAGGCATTCAAATCTTTCAATTTGATGAGAATGACTCCACATTCTCTCATTTAGATAATTATGCTTTTCTCGAAGGTAAGAAAGCAAGTCCACATCTGTAGAGGGAGGATAGGATCTGGCAGTGGAGCTGCTGGTTCCTCTCTATTTCTCAGGACACAGCACACTCAATTTTACATGTTTCTGACCCTTTCATGGAGGCACACATAAACCTTATACAAATGTCATGCTTTTTGAAAAGTAAGGATTATTTTAAAAGTAAAGACTAGAATCCTGAATTTACTGTCTCATTTGAGTAAAATGCTGCCTCCAATTAAAGAAACTATTAAGAATATTTGAAGGGATATGGAAAATATGGGGAGTAAGTCACCATATATGTGCAAAATGCCATCTCTCCTTAACATATTCGGGCTCTTATCTTCGAGCATTTTCTTTCTATCTAGTAACTTAGAAATTGAAAGCAAAATAGCACAGTGGACATGGTTGTTAATGTGTTATTCTTCTATCATTTTCTATAACTGATTAATGGGAGAAAAGTAAAAGGTTAATTTTCTAATTACGTACTCTCCCAAGGTAAATTATGCATGTTATCATATTCATTGACACACTATAATGGGCATTTTATGGAAAAATGATTTTCTCTGAAGCTACGAACAATCAACAGTATATTTTTAGGAAGGAAGTAGGCAGCAGGCAAGCCAGTGAAAAGACCGGCCTCTACCAAAAAATATGTTCACGAGCAGCTTTTGCCTTCAAAGCAAATTGTGGTGATTCCAAATCATTCTGTCCAGCCATATGAGTCAAGTATAGGCTGCAGAATTGGACCTGATTTTGACTCCTGACTTTTTCCATTTATTAATCACATGACATAAATATATTTTATATGTCTAAGCATTGACTAATTCATTGATAAGTGGAAATAATTATTGTGAGAACATAATTACATGCAGAAACACAGTGATGTATATATAGCAAGTAATGTATAGCAAGTGTCTATCACATATACTCTCAATACATTATAACTGCGATCATGAGTCATGAGAGAAGTTGAAATTAGGAAGTGAATTGTGGTGTTAAGTACATCCTTAATTAGAAGTGTCTGTGTAAATAGAATCTTCCCAGATCATGTCCCCATTTAGTTTTCTTTTTGTGAGGAAAGAGTATAGGAGATAGATATAAATAGATTCCTGTGATATTTTTATTTCTTTACTGAAATAGAATTGATGTTCACAAACGCTTATATTTAATGTATACATTTTTATAGGTTTGTACTTATGTCTACATTTGTGCTACCAACACCATAATCAAGGTACTAAACCTATGCATCACCTCCAAAAATTTCCCTGTGTTCCTGTGTGTATGTGTGTGTGTATTTTTTTTGATTTTTTGCTTTTGTGGTTAGAACACCTAACACGAGGTCTATCTTCTTATCATATTTTAAAGCACAAAACACCATACTAGCTATAGGTATGATGTTGTGTAGCAGATTTCTAGAACTTATTCATCTTGCATAACTGAAACTTTATACCCATTAGGTAGCGATTTCCTATTTTCTTCTCTCCCCAGTTCTTGGCAACCACTATTTTATTCACTCCCTCTATGAGTTTGACTATTTTAAGTACCTCATATAAGTGGGAAAGCTTGTTGACATTGGTCTTGGCAATGATTTCTTGGATTTTACACCAAAGGCACAGGCAACAAAACGAAAAATAGACAAGTACGACTACACCCAACTGAAAAGCTCCTGCATAGCAAACAATCAATACATTGAAAAAGCAGTCTAAAGAATGGGAAAACATATTTGCAAACCATCTATTTGATAAGGGGTTATTATTTAAAATATATAATAAACTCTTACAACTCAATAGCAAAAAACAAACACTAGTGAAACGAAGAAACCCTGCTTTTTTAAAAACGGGGCAAAGGATGTGAATAGAAATTTCTCTAAAAAAGACAGACAAGGCTGGGCACGGTGGCTCACGCCTGTAATCCCAGCACTTTGGGAGGCCAAGGCAGGAGGATCACCTGAGGTAAGGAGTTTGAGACAAGCCTGGCCAACATGATGAAACCCTGTCTCTACTAAAAATACAAAAATTAGCTGGGCATGGTGGCGGGTGCCTGTAATACCAGCTACCCTGAGGCTGAAGCAGGAGAATCACTTGAACCTGGGAGGTGGAGGTTGCAGTGAGCGGAGACCATGCCATTGCACTCCAGCCTGGGCAACAAGAGCGAAACTCTGTCTCAAAAAAAAAAGACAGACATACAAATGTCCAACAAGTATATGAGAGGCTGTTCAACATCATTATTCATCAGGGAAATGCGAATTAAAGCCACAATGAGATATCACCTCCTACCTGTTAGGGTGACTATTATCAAGAAGATAAGAGATAATAAGTGTCAGTGAGGGTGTGGAGAAATCAAAACCTTGATATACACTGTTGAGGGGAATATAGAATGGTGTAGGCACTATGGAAAACAGTACGAAGGTGCTTCAAATAATTGAACATAGAAATATCATATGGTCCAACCATACTACTTTGGGGTACAAATCTAAAATAATGGGAATAAGGATCTTGAAGAGATATTTGCCCCTATGTTCATTGAGCATTATTCACAATATTCAAGATATGAAAACAGCCCAAATGCCCATCTTCATATGAAGGGAGAAAGAAAACCTGGTGTATGTAAATACAATGGAATATTATTCAACCTTATAAAAGAGGAAAATCCTCTCATTTGTGACAACAGGAATCAACCTAGAGGACACTATGCTAAATGAAGTGAACCAGTCACAGAAGGACAAATACTGCATGAATCCATTAATATGAGTTATTTCAAATACTCAAACTGATAGAATAGAAGGAGCTCATAGCATTTATATGAATAACAGAAGAATTATAGAGGAGAAAGTACTTGGACCTTTAGACCAATTAGTTTGTAAACCTCAGGGAGACTCCCAAGTCTCTTTAGGATCCATCCTCTGGTGCATTCACTCAGACTTTCTAGCGACTAGTCATGTTTAAAAGAACATAAATGAGGACAACTTAAATAGGTCTATTATAGAGAAGCTCAAGAAGTTTGGTGAAAGAAAGCCCAAGACCAAAAGTGAAGTCCCAGTGTTTTAGGCCCATTTTTGTACCCTTTCTAGCACAAAACAACCACACTAATGGATGTCACACATTTCAAATATTGTTCCAGCTTCATTCCACTTTTATTATTAATCTTAATATGTGATTTAGGGAGCTTTTTATTTAGCACTGTCAATGAAAAATGAGATACTAGGGAAACAGTGGCTTGTTCGTTTTAAGGATATTTTCCTATTTCCTGAAAAAAATTGTTATAGCAGGTTGTCTTGTATATTTATACAGAATAAATTTACCTTTAACAAAACAATGGTAGGTGGTGATAATAGTGTGAGATTTAGAATAAGACCTGGGTTCAAATATTACTTTCTCTGTAACTCTGAGCAATTGCTTAATCTCTCTGAATCACAGAGAGTTTTCCTTACTTGTAAAATGAAGATAACAGCAATACTGGAGGGCTGTTAGGATGATTAAATATTAACATAAGCGAAAATCCTGGCACAATCCTTGACCAATTGGAGCCACTGAAGCAATAGATTTTTGAGTATTATGGTTTACGAAGATAGAAAAACAAACAACACCTCAGTGGACAGATAAAGATTCACAGAAGTTGATGTGGTTTGGCTCTGTGTCCCCACCCAAATCTCATCTTGAATTGTACTCCCATAATTCCCATGTTTTGTGGGGGGGTACCCAGTGGGAGATAATTTGAATCATGAGGGTAGTTTCCCCTATATGGTTCTCATGGTAGTGAATAAGTCCCACAAGATCTGATGGTTTTATCAGGGGTTTCTGCTTTTGCATATTCCTCATTTTTTCTTGCCACCACCATGTAAGAAGATCCTTTCACCTCCTGCAATGATTCTGAGGCCTCCCCAGGCATTTGGAAATATAAGTCCAATTAAACCTCTTTTTCTTCCCATTCTCTGGTATGTCTTTATCAGCAGCGTGAAACAGACTAATATAGAGAAGTTTACTGATCACACGTTTTCACAGCCAGGCGGAGGAGGACACCACAGGCTAGGCATATATAAGGCTTGCACTAGGGAACAGAATGAGCAACTGTGGGCTGTGGGAAACAGGATTAAGAGACTTAGGTGTCCCTGGTTTTATGAGAGGGTATGACTGTCATAGTTGAATAATTTTGCAGGCTGGAAGGGAACCCTTTCAGGGATGAGCAGGAACTGTACCTCCTCCACTTGAGAAAAAGGGTTGTTTGGCTAGCATTTACAGGAACGGAATGAAGAGGAGATTTTCAGGTTGGGCAATTTGAGATCATCCTTATTTCTCCAGATGATAAAGCAACATAAAATATTGAACCTTAGTTTTAGGCCTCACAATACAGTAACAAAGCTTAATCTTCCTGGGATCATTTTATCCCCTTTTTCCTTAAAAGGAAAAATGAAAAGACTATCAGGATAGTTATATTTTTCAAAATGTCTAACAATCACATAGATGGTATTATAATCAATCTGATGATAATTTTAGGCCTAAAAGAATGAGGAGAAGAGAAGAACTATTCAAACCAGAGACATCTTGGAAACCATCTGGAAAGCTGCATTAAATGATGGTGCTGACTCTGTTGATCTAGTTTTGAATTAATATTACAGGTTTAGTAGTAAGTGGGTGGGGGAAAAAAGCAGATAAATGGCAATGTTGGTGCAATTTAATTATTGGCTTGTTAAGGTAATTTTTTTCCCTAAATCTTAAAAAAGTAATAAATGTATTTTCAAACAATCAAGAATAACAGAACAGTAAAAAAGCAAAACAAAACAAAATAAAACAAAAAACCTATCTGCTGATGACCAGCAGACCCCATTACCTCCAATGCACATAGACGTTAGCCTTTTGCCCTTTTGTCTGAAATTGACCTGATTTCTGCTTTCTTCAACTGCATGGTTAGAAATTTCATCAAAAATCTCAGTTAATTTAATTTAGCTACATATTTCATTTCTAGACTTATATTTTGCCTAATATTTTGCAGTTATGGATATTGTAGGCAGTAATTGTTTTAGATCAAACTTCTTATTTTGACAATTCTTTTTAACTCTAAGATCTCCCATCATTAGTTAAGCAGCAGGAACTATTTTATTTCTGCCTAGGTTTCAGAGTATGAAAAAGAGAAATAACAGAGTTCAATTTCAGGCTTTTGAGCTCTTAAGTAGACTTTGCAGAATCTATAGGAAGAAAAAAGTGTCCAGTATTTATAGGTTAAGAGTTACAGAGCTAATTCCAACTCAAAAACCTTACATTGCTGCTTGCTACAGTGACAAATAGTAGGCATGTGATTAGATAAAAAACTGTCTGGATTTCTGAGAAAGTGTCCTATGTGTACTTCTACTCCTATTTCCCACCTCTACCCCAGTCGTGGAGCTGTGTTTAAATATAGTTTATATCTGATATAAAGAATATGTGCATCTGAAATGCAGAAGACACTTAGACCACAGACATCAGTCAAGGACAACACTGAACAATGGTAACAACCTTCTGAGTAACATCTCAAAAGATTCCAGGACGAACAGGAGACACCAGGTGATACAGGATGTCATTTCCCCAATTTATGGACAACACAAGCATTGCCTTCCTCTACTTTTATTTCGTCTAGAAGTAAAGGTCAAAAGGAAGCAGCAAACACTGAATTGACTCAATTAAAATCAAGAATCAAACACGTAAACTCAGGAATGACACAATTCATCTTGAATCTTCCAGGTTAGGTTGCTTTTACTGAGTAAAAATTGAAGTTTAATTTTACTAAATTATTTAAAATAGTTCTTTTGTAGAACTTATTAATGACAATAAATTTTAACCCTTCCCCATGGATAATGTCATTTCTAAAATATTGCATTTTATCTTAAAGTTAATAAAAACACAACACAAAAAAGCACCCCACATCTGAAATATTTTATCTTAAATATGGCCCTATACCCTGTATTTGATGTTTTCTCCTTAGATAGTCCATAATTTTCTCAATAATAATTACTTTGTGAGTCAGCTTATGATGATGCAGGCTGCTAGTTCTTCCTGGTGTTGAGATAAATGAAAATGTATCCAAGCAAGCATCCAAAATTCTTCCCAAATCACAACAACATACAGTGGCAAATGATAACACTAGGTAATGAGCCCTTTAATATTCCAGACACATCTGAAGTACTTTAGTGATATTTTCTTGGTTAATCTTCATAATAAGACTGAAATAAATATTATTTTGTCCTTTTACAGATGAGTAAAGTGAGGCAACACATTGTTCATTAATTTGCTAAACAGTCGGTCTGGCTCTTGAACATAGTTTCTTAATCCCTAAACTACATTATCTCTTCAGTTCGACATACATCCTTATTACTGAGAGGTGAAGCCAGCTGGACTTCCTGGGTCGAGTGGGGACTTGGAGAACTTTTCTGTCTAGCTAGAGGATTGTAAATGCACCAATCAGCACTCTGTGTCTAGCTAAAGGATTGTAAACACAACAATCAACACTGTGTAAAAACGCACCAATCAGCACTCTATGTCTAGCTAAAGGATTGTAAACGCACCAATCAGCATTCTGTAAAAACGCACCAATCAGTGCTCTGTGTCTAGCTAAAGGATTGTAAATGCACCAATCAGCGCTCTGTAAAAATGCACCAATCAGCGCTCTGTGTCTAGCTAAAGGAAGGATTGTAAATGCGTCACTCAGCACTCTGTAAAAACGCACCAGTCAGTGCTCTGTGTCTAGCTAAAGGCTTGTAAATGCACCAATCAGTGCTCTGTAAAATGGACCAATAAGTACTCTGTAAAATGGACCAATCAGCAGGACATGAGCTGTGCCAAATAAGGGAATAAAAGCTGGCCACCCAAGCCAGCAGCAGCAACCTGCTTGGGTCCCCTTCCATGCTGTGTAAGCTTTGTTCTTTCACTCTTCACAGTAAATCTTGCTGCTGCTCACTCTTTGGGTCTGCACTACCTTTATGAGCTGTAACACTCACTGCAAGGGTCTGCGGCTTCGTTCCTGAAGTCGGCGAGACTACCAACCCACTGGGAGGAACAAACAAATCTGGACGTGCCACCTTTAAGAGCTGTAACACTCAATGCGAAGGTCTGCTGTTTCACTCCTGAAGTCAGCGAGACCATGAACCCACTGGGAGGAACAAACAACTCTGGAGGTGCCACCTTTAAGAGCTGTAACACTCACTGCAAAGGTCTGCAGCTTCACTCCTGAAGTCAGCAAGAAAACAAACTCACTGGAAGGAAGAAACTCCAGACACATCTGAACATCTGAAGGAAGAAACTCCAGACACACCATCTTTAAGAGCTGTAACACTCACCAAGAGGGTCCATGGCTTCATTCTTGAAGTCAGGGAGAACAAGAACCAACTGGAAGGAACCAATTCTGGACACATTTTGGTGACCACAAAGGGACTATCGACTATCATCAAGCGGTGAGCACCATCGGACCCCTTTTCCTTGCTATTCTGTCCTATTTTTCCTTAGAATTCAGGGGCTAAATACCAGGCACCTGTCAGCCAGTTAAAAGCAGATAGCATGGCCGCTGGACTAAAGACACAGGTGTCAGACTTTCTGGGAATGGGCTCTCTAACAACCCCCAACTCTTCAGAGTTGGGAGCGTTGCTTTGCCTGGAACCAGCTTCTGCTTTTCCTGTACTTCTGGGCTGAGCTGAGGGTCGACAGAGAGGAAAGCCATTCAGCTCCAGGGTCCCAACAGCAAGTTGGTTGACCCTGTGGCCATGATTGGAACTCTCAAAGTCATGTCGCCCAAGAGAGACTCGCCCATGTAGCCTATCTATCCTGACCCTTGCCTCCTGGGTCCTAACGCCTGTCAGACAAACTTCCTCTCACCTCTCTTCTCCAAGGCTAGTCCTGCTTCTAAAATCCACTCCCTGTCTCTGGTGCTTTTCTAGTTTCTCCTATAAGAATGATTTATAGTATAAACTTCAGGACTCTGTTACCTTCTTTAGGCACCCAGGCTCACCAATCAGAAAGACAAAATTTTTGCCCAAAGCCCCATTGGGGTGGGGGGCTATCTGGAATTTTAGGATCTCTCCTCAGACTAGCAGGCCTAACAAAAGCTATTCCTGAAGCTAGGATATGGGGAGCTTCAGAAAGGGTATCTTTCCTATTCATATATGTGAGGACAAAAGGCATCACTCTTCCAACTCTGGAGATCACTTCCCTCCCTCAGGGTATAGCCCTCCACTTCATTTTTGGGACATAACATCTTTATAGGACAGTGGTAAGGTCCCAATACTAACAGGAGAACACTTAGGACTCTAACAGGTTTTCGAGAATGCGTCAGTAAGGGCCACTAAATCTGACCTTCCTCAGTCCTCCTTGTGGTCTAGGAGGAAAACTAGTGTTTCTGCTGCTGTGTCAGTGAGTGCTACTATTCCCATCATCAGAGTCCAGGGACCATTGCAGGTTCTTGGGCAGGAGGTGTTTGTTTCTGCTGCTGTGTCAGTGAGTGCAACTATTCTGATCAGCAGGGTCCAGGGACCGTTGTGGGTTCTTGGTCAGGGGGAGAAACAAACAAACCAAAACCATGGGTGGTTTTGTCTTTCAGATGGGAAACACTCAGGCATCAAAAGGATAACCCTTGAAATGCATCCTAAGCCATTGGGACCGATTTGACCTGCAAACCCTGAAAAAGAGGCTGCTCATTTTTTCCTGCATTACAGCCTGGCCCCAGTGTTCTCTCTGATGGGGAAAAATGGCCACCTGAGGGAAGTATACATTACAATATTATCCTGCAGCTTGACCTTTTCTGTAAGAGGGAAGGCAAATGGAGTAAAATACCTTATGTCCAAGCTTTTTTTTCATTGAAGGAGAATACAAAACTATGCAAAGCTTGCAATTTATATCCCACAGGAGGACCTCTCAGCTTACTCCCATATCCTAGCCTCCCTATAGCTCCCCTTCCTATTAATGATAAGACTCCTCTAATCTCCCCTGCCCAGAAGGCAACAAGCAAAGAAATCTCCAAAGGACCACAAAAACCCCTGGGCTATCAATTATGTCCCCTTCAAGCTGTAGGGGGAGAGGAACATGTCCCCTTCTCCCTCTCTGATTTAAAGCAGATCAAGGCAGAACTGGGGAAGTTTTCAGATAACCCTGATAGGTATATAGATGTCCTACAGGGTCTAGGCCAAACCTTTGATCTCACTTGGAGAGACGTCATGCTATTGTTAGATCAAACCCTGGCCTTTAATGAAAAGAATGTGGCTTTAGCTGCAGCCCAAGAGTTTGGAGATACCTGGTATCTTAGTCAAGTAAATGATAGAATGACAGCTGAAGAAAGGGACAAATTCCCTACCGGTCAGGAAGCCATCCCCAGTATGGATCCCCACTGGGATCCAGACTCAGATCATGGGGACTGGAGTCATAAACATCTGCTGACCTGTGTTCTAGAAGGACTAAGGAGAATCAGGAAAATGCCCATGAGTTATTCAGTGATGTCCACCATAACTCAGGGAAAGGAAGAAAATCCTTCTGCCTTCCTCAAGCGGCTATGGAAGGCCTTAAGAAAATATACTTCCCTGTCACCCAACTCAGTAGAGGGTCAATTGATCCTAAAAGATAAGTTTATTACCCAATCAGCCACAGATATCAGGAGAAAGCTCCAAAAGCGAGTCCTGGGCCCTGAACAAAATCTGGAGGCATTATTAAACCTGGCAACCTCGGTATTCTATAATAGGTACCAAGAGGAACAGGCCGAAAAGGAAAAGCGAGATCAGAGAAAGGCCGCAGCCTTAGTCATGGCCCTCAGACAAACAAACCTTGGTGGTTAAGAGAGGACAGAAAATGGAGCAGGCCAATCACCTGGTAGGGCTTGTTATCAGTGTGGTTTGCAAGGACACTTTAAAAAAGATTGTCCAATGAGAAACAAGCTGCCCCCTTGCCCATGTCCACTATGCCAAGGCAATTGCTGGAAGATGCACTGCCCCAGAGGACAAAGTTTCTCTGGGCCAGAAGTCCCCAACCAGATGATCCAACAACAGGACTGAGGGTGCCCGGGGCAAGCACCAGCTCATGTCACAAACCTCACTGAGCCCTGGGTATGTATAACCGTTGAGGGTCAGGAAACTGACTTCCTCCTGGACACTGGCGCGACCTTCTCAGTGTTAATCTCCTGTCCTGGACGACTGTCCTCAAGGTCTGTTACCATCTGAGGAATTGTGGGACTGCCTGTAACCAGGTATTTCTCCCACCTCCTCAGTTGTAACTGGGAGACTTTGTTCTTTTCACATGCCTTTCTTATTATTCCTGAAAGTCCCATACCCTTATCTACATGAATACGGGGAACAAGTTGCCCATTTTTTGTCCCCTGCTTGAGGAGGGTATCAACCCTGAAGTCTGGGCATTGGAAGGAACAAACTCAAGCTCCAGCCTTAAGCCTTCCCACGGGACAAGTCTTCTCTTTGTATGTCAGAGAGAGAGCAGGAATAGCTCTTGGAGTCCTTACTCAGACTCTTGGGACAACCCCACAACCAGTGGCATACCTAAGTAAGGAAATTGATATAGTAGCAAAAGGCTGGCCTCGCTGTTTATGGGTAGTTGCAGTGGTGGCCATCTTCGTGTCAGGGGCTATCAAAATAATACAAGGAAAGGATCTCACTGTCTGGACTACCTATGATGTAAATGGCATACTAGGTGCCAAAGGAAGTTTATGGCTCTCAGACAACCACCTGCTTAGATACCAGGCGCTACTCCTTGGGGGACTGGTGCTTCAAATATGCACGTATGTGGCCCTCAACTCTGTCACTTTTCTCCCAGAGGATGGGGAAACCAATCGAGCATGACTGCCAACAAATCATTGTCCAGACTTATGCCGCCTGAGAGGATCTCTTAGAAGTCCCCTTAGTTAGTCCTGAGCTTAACCTATATACCAATGCAAGTTCATTTGTGGAGAATGGGATATGAAGGGCAGCTTATGCCATAGTTAGTAACAGTACTTGAAAGTAAGCCTCTTCCCCCAGGGACCAGCACCCAGTTGGCAGAACTAATGGCACTTACCCAAGCCTTAGAACTGGGAAACGGAAAAAGAATAAATGTGTATATAGATAGCAAGTATGCTTATCTAATCCTACATGCCTATGCTGCAATATGGAAATAAAGGGAGTTCCTAATCTCTGGGGGAACCTCCATTAAATACCACAAGGAAGTCATGGAGTTATTGCACGCAGTGCAAAAACCCAAGGAGGTGGCAGCCTTACACTGCCAAAGCCATCAAAAAGGGGAAGGAGAGGAGAGAACAGTAGCATCAGCAGCTGGCAGAGGCAGGGAAAGACCAGCAGAAAGGAAAGAGAGAAAGAGACAGAAAGTCAGAGAGAGAGAGAGAGAGAGAGAGAGGAAGAGACAGGGACAAAGAGGGAGTCAGAGAGAGAGAGGAAGAGACAGGGACAAAGAGGGAGTCAGAGAGAGAGAGAAAGAGAGACACAAAGTCAAAGAGAGAGAGGAAGAGACAGACAAAGAGGGAGTCAGAAAGAGAGAGACAAAGAAGAAGTCAAAGAGAAAAAGAGATAGAAGTGGTAAGGAAAAAACAGTGTACCCTATTCCTTTAAAACCAGGGTAAATTTAAACCTATAATTGAAGGTCTTCTCCCTGACCTATAACACTCCAATACCACCTTGTTGTCAGTGTAAACAAGGGCATAGCCCAAAAGCACTGAGGCCAATGACAACCCATAGCCTTCCTATCAAAAATCCTTAACCCAGCAGGTTTCCTAACAAGGGATCTAAATCTTAATTAATTACCATACAAATGTCCAACCAGACCCAGGAGGAACTCCCTTCAGGGCAGGATGGACGATAGATGTTTCCTCCCAGGCAATTAAGAGAAAAAGACACAATGAGTATTCAGTAAGTGATAAGGAAACTCTTGTAGAAGCAGAGTTAGGAAAATTGCCTAATAACTGGTCTGCTCAAACGTTCAAGTTGTTTGGACTCAGCCAACTCTGCACCTTCTTAGGGGAAGAGTGTTGTTTTTACACTAACTGGTCAGGGATAGTATGAGATGCTACCCAGCATTTACAGGAAAAGGCTTCTGAAATCAGACAACACCTTTCAAACTCTTATACCAACCTCTGGAGTTGGGCGACATGGCTTCTCCCCTTTCTAAGTCCTATGACAGCCATCTTGCTATTACTCGCCTTCAGGCCCCATATTTTTAACCTCCTTGTCAAATTTGTTTCCTCTAGGATTGAGGCCATGAAGCTACAGATGGTCTTACACATGGAACTACAACTGCAGGGCCCCTTCTTTGCCCCATACAGCAGGAAGTAGCTAGAGTGGTCATTGCCCAATTCCCAACAGCAGTTTGGGTGTCCTGTTTAGAGGGGGGATTGAGAGGTGAAGCCAGCTGGACTTCCTGGGTTGAGTGGTGACTTGGAGAACTTTTCTGTCTAGCTAGAGGATTGTAAATGCACCAATCAGCACTCTGTCTAACTAAAGGATTGTAAATGCGCCAATCAGCACTCTGTAAAAACGCACCAATCAGCACTCTGGGTCTAGCTAAAGGATTGTAAATGCACCAGTCAGCTCTCTGCAAAAATGCACCAATCAGCACTCTGTGTCTAGCTAAAGGATTGTAAATGCACCAATCAGCACTCTGTAAAAACGCACCAATCAGCGCGCTGTGTCTAGCTAAAGGATTATAAACACACCAATCAGCACTCTGTAAAAATGCACCAATCAGTGCTCTGTGTCTAGCTAAAGGATTGTAAACACACCAATCAGCACTCTGTAAAAATGCACCAATCCGTGCTCTGTGTCTAGCCAAAAGATTGTAATGCACCAATCAGCGCTCTGTAAAATGGACCAATCAGTACTCTGTAAAATGGGCCAATCAGCAGGACCTGGGCAGCGACAATAAGGGAATCAAAGCTGGCCACCCAAGCCAGCAGCGGCAACCCACTCAGGTCCCCTTCTATGCTGTGTAAGCTTTGTTCTTTCGCTCTTCACAATAAATCTTTCTGTTGCTCACTCTTTGGGCCCACACTACCTTTATGAGCTGTAACACTCACCACGAGGGTCTGTGGCTTCATTCCTGAAGTCAGTGAGACCACCGACCCACTAGGAGGAACAAACAACTCTGGACATGCCACCTTTATGAGCTGTAACACTCACTGCGAAGGTCTGCTGCTTCACTCCTGAAGTCAGCGAGACCACGAACCCACCGGGAGGAACAAGCAACTCTGGACGTGCCACCTTTAAGAGCTGTAACACTCACTGTGAAGGTCTGTGGCTTCACTCCTGAAGTCAGCGAGATCACGAACCCACCAGAAGGAAGAGACCCTGGACACACACATCTCAACATCTGAAGGAACAAACTCCGGACACACCATCTTTAAGATCTGTAACACTCAGCGTGAGGGTCTTGAAGTCACAGAGACCAAGAACCCACGGGAAGGAACCAATTCAGGACATATTACTATTAGTTAAAAACCCTGAGTTATATTTAGTAGATTCCAGTTGGTAACTGACAACATCTAAGGTATACATTATATAATTTAATTCATCAGTTGAAGTGAAATGACTTTTTAAATAATAAAATGAAAATTATTGGGAATGTTTCCTAATAATTATAAATCACTAATACTAATTTTATATTAGAATCCAAGACCCAGTGAAAAATATGGTGACTATGCCCATGCTATTTAGCAGGGACCACATTAAATCTAATCCCTAATCTCTTGATTTTCCCTACAATAAATTTTCTGCCAACAGATATTATCTGCAAAGATATTAAGGTTGAATAAAATGTTTGTTTGCCTTTAGAGACATCAAAATCCGGATGGAAAGAAGAACATATACACAAAGAATATCAGTAAAGTGCTATGTGTAATAAATCCATTCAGAATTTTATATATATATATATGTATATATATATATATATGTATATATATATATATATGTATATATATATATATATACATATATATATATATACACATATATATATATATGGGAGAGTTGTTAGATTTGAGTTGATATAATCAAAAACAACATCCTGGACTATGGCAGAAACAGTGTAATAGCTTCTTACCAGTTAACTAATTTGCACTGGATGTGCTCCAGCCAAATCAGTTGCAGAATAATTGGAATATTTATTTAAGATGGCCATCTGCAGATTGTACTGAACAGTTCTACCATTACTGCTGTTGCCTTAGTTACTATTTTCACCAGCATGTTTTATTTATTTTAAGACAGTGTCCATCTTCAAATATTTTTGTTTTCTTAAATTCACTTAGAGGAGATGCCTGCTTTAGATGCAATGTGTTCATGGAGACTGGATCTTAAAAGTGGATCAGTCAGGCAAAATTTGGAGTACATAGGCTTGGACTGTGGTTAGATTCAACTGTTCAAAAACTGATGAAAGTTACTGAACAATGCAGTAGACGTTACAAGAAGTGTACTGCACACTATTAGGAACTTTTGATCCAACAAAATAGTTAAATAAACAACTGCCTACATTTATATTTGAGAGCCAACCCATGCCTATTATTTTATAACAGATTTTTGCTGTTTTCATAGTTATTATACCAGGTTGAAAAACTAATCTGGGATAGGATTTTATCCTCTTGCAACTATAATATTGCAGTCTCACTTTTCTTCTAGAAGATAGAAATTATTGCTTGCAAATGACAGAGAAAATCTAATTTATAGAAGTGAGCTTAGCTGATACCACATGGAGCTGAGATCAGCCCGAATTACCAACCAACAGAATTTTGAGCAAATAAACATTTGTGATTTTTCAGCCACAAAGTTTGGAGTAGAAAGAGGAACACTCAAAGGAGTAAAAGAAACATCTTAATTAGCAACCCCCAAAAGCAAGAAAATAGGACAAAATAAGTGCAAAATAGTTTGGTAGAAATAAAATTTATAATACATAGAAATAATTGGAATAAATGTAAAAAACCTCAAACAATCTAGCTAGAGTCATGATTAATATCTCAGTAAATGTAATTATTTGTGAAATATCAAAATAATTACATTCAAAATTAGGAACATGACAAAGATGTTTCCTAATACTTGGGCCATTCCTAAAATCAAGAGAAACAGAAAGGCAGGATAAAAAATGATGAATCAAATCAAATTAAAGTAAGCCTTCTCTTGATATGAGGTCAGGTCCCAAGAAATTCTTGGACAACAGAGTGAGACCCTGTCTGTACAAAAATAAATAAATAAAAATAAATAAAAAAGATACCACTCTTGGCTGGGTGCAGTGGCTCACGCCTGTAATCCAGCACTTTGGGAGGCCGAGGCAGGTGGATCACGAGGTCAGGAGATTGAGACCATCTTGGCTAACACGCTGAAACCCTGTCTCTACTAAAAATACAAAAAATTAGCTGGGTGTGGTGGCAGGCGCCTGTAGTCCCAGCTACTCAGGAGGCTGAGGCAGGAGAATGGCGTGAACCTGGAGGTGGAAGTTGCAGTGAGCCAAGATCATGCCACTGCACTCCAGCCTGGGAGAGAGAGCGAGATTCCGTCTGAAAAAAATAAAATAAAATAAAAAAACTAGGAGAAAGTATGTAATATGGTGGGGAACTTGAAAGCAAACATGTTTATTTTCATAACACTATAGTAGGTATATAGTACTCCACTATTTTCAGTTATTTTCTTTAGCCAGATCCATAAGGAGATTATATTTTCCTGATTATGTAATTTTTTGGCCAATGAAATATTAGCAGTAATAATTTGTACCATTTCTAAGGTGAATTATGTGAGATCTGGTTTGTGCTTCTCTATGTGCTTTCCCCTACCATTATAAATACTGAAACTTACTGGAGACACAGCAATATAATAAGTAGGTGGAGCCTCTATATGTCTGTGTCTTCAAGAAACTACAATAACCAGAGCTAAACATTATATGGAAAAATATATAATGTTACCCTAAGGCATGGAGAGTTTGGTTTCTTTCTTTGTTATCGCAACAAATAAACCAGTTTTGTTCTAATCTACTGTCATGGTGAACACAATCATTAGAGTGTTTCCAAGCCTAGTTTATACACTTACAGTTCTCATTGAATGTTGCATAAGCTAAGACTTCTCTTCATCTATGAAATCTTTTCTCTAATTCACTTCAAATTCAGCCTACTACAGTCACCATAACAACCAAGATCTTACACCAAACAATGAGAACTCCCTGGGATTAGGCGGAGGAGGAGAGAACACACTTTTCTTTAGAAGTCTCACCAGCATATTTAGTTTCCTAAAGGAGTCTTCTGAGGTCTTGTAACCTCAAGATTAGCCCTATATTAGTCCTGTATGAACACATATAAGTGAATTCTTGAGTTCTCTGAATCCTGGCAATTGAGATACATAAATCCTACATGACAAAGAATGGAAAAGTAAATACTGTGTTTCTACCATCCTTTATTAATCCCAAAGTGGGTTATAAAGCAATAATGAACACAAAATATATCCATATTACATTTGTTTTTAAGTAGATAATTTAATTTGAAAAAAATGTATTCTGGTAGCCTTTGACTAATAAAACTGAAGGCTGCAGGAGAATCATATCAGTCTAGCTTAAGATTTCTATATCCTTGAGTCAGAAGAATGCAGCTAATTCCAATTCTGTGTGTGTGTGTATGTAGATAGATAAAGATTCATATATATATATGTATATCTATATATAGATTCATATATATATATGAATCCCACATATATATGATACACACACATATATATATATACACAGAGAGAGAGAGAGAGAGGGATTAAGACAGCTATGTTTTCTAAAACAGAGATAGTTTATAAGAGCCCAGACACTGACTAGCATGTTTAATTCAATGTGACTGCTGCCTTTATAAGATAATGTTATAAAGGCAGTGGTAGAATGCCATGTGATGACAGAAGCAAAGATTAAAGTTATGCAGTTGCAAGCCAAAAATGCCAGAGATTACTGGCAACAGCAGAAACTGAAACTAACATTCCTGGTTACTGAGGACTTTCCTAAAAAATGAAATTCACATGTGAAATTAGTGCTTGAAAGATAAAATATGATAAGTAAATTTTCTGGGTTAATTTTAATTTTTTTCCTGCTCTGGTCCACAAGGACAAGTAAGTGTATTATAGACCATATTAGATTTTATTACTTCCTTAATAAAGCAGTACATATGTAAAATTCTAATCCACACTGGTTTTTCATTATTTTCTTAAGTTACTTTTGTGTCTATTATTTATTGATTATCCACTGTGTGCTAGACATACAGGTGGGGAGAAGGGAATAAAGAATAGCCTAATTATTGAAGAATCTTTAGCAAGACTGTGTTAAGGGCTAATATATATTCTTTCTAGGTGATTATTTTTTTTTCAGTGTTCCACAGCTGTGACAATAACCCACTTTATATGCATCATCCCTCTGGGGATGTTTATTATGTTTATCTCAGTCTCTCCACATCATTCCCATGGGACTTGAGGGCCAAAGGGAATTCATTTGAGCATGAAGCTCATGCTTCCTGCTTCACTATGAGTAATAAAGCTCATGGTCTCTGATCCAGGAGTTTCCCATCTCCTGCCAGCATCCATGATACTGTAAGGCTAACTTGTTAGCTTGGAAATAGGGAAAAATAACAAAATTTTCACAGGTCCTGAGATAGAAAGGTAGAAGAAATTCATCTCAGAAACTCTGTAGCTTCTAAATCACCTAAAAACAAAATTGATCAAAGTAAAAGTGAAAGAGTTGGTCTATGTTGCACAAACTCATAGCCTAATCATATAATTACAAATTATTTACCTTAGGGAAAGTGAAGAATTTACACATAGACATAGACATAAAAATAATTTTATAATGGTTTTTATAGCAGTATTTCAGATAGTTCCACCTTGATCAAGGGAGTCAGTAAGAGAATCCCTGGATTAGGCAAATTGTGGTTCATTCAAGATCTGATACAGGCCACTTCCTGAGAGATTTCAATACTCCCACACAAGACATATATATATATAGTTTTTTTTTTTTTTAAAGACAGAGTCTTGCTTTGTCACCCAGGCAGATTGCAATGGCACGATCTTGGCTCACTGCAACCTCCACCTCCTGAATTCAAGCGATTTTCCTTCCCCAGCCTCCCGAGTAGCTGGAAATACAGGCGTGCACCACCATGCCTGGCTATCCCACAAAATATTCTTTCTCATACTACTGTTTCCAAGATTTAATCCTAGTTCAGATCCAAGTCTTTAATCACTCATTATGCTACCTCTATCATCTCGTTTCCCTTATGACCATATGCTTTAATTTAGTCTTGGTTACACAATGCACACTTGTCCTTTTTAGGACTCAGTATTCTTTAAACTCTGAATTTGATACCACCACCAACAGAAAATATTATCAGTTTTAGTATTATAATCAGTTCATTTCCTCCACCATGGTGAATGATTAGAATAGTTAGCTTCTTAAAACCAAAACTTTTATATTTGTAACAAAAAGAAAAAAAACACACAAGTTTAGATTCCTCCTTTCGTCAGTCTTTGGACCAAGAGATCCTTATAATCTTAGTTTCTTCCCTCAAAACAGATGCATCTAGAAATGAATATCATTATTGTGACAAGTCACTGTAGTCCCTTAAGTTTTAGACTGACTCTTTCTGGATACATGCTGCAGGTTCTCCTTCTAGAGCATGCTAAAACTGATCAGGTTTCAAGCACTATTTCAGCAAGCCACACACTAGTGAAGGCAGATCACTTCTGTGATCAGGATTTAGTTCTTTCTTTAATATCTTTCTTCTATAGCAGTCATTAGAAACAAAAGACTGCTTGCTCATAATTGGATCCCACCAGCCCTAACCCCTGCTTTGGCACATTTGAAAAATGGATTTCCTCTGTTTGTTTGATTTATTCCTTAATCCAACTCATTGTAAGAGAGAATATGAGATGGGGGGAAGCATGGGTAGTTTATTATGTTTATCTCAGAGAAGCAGTGTTTAAGCATGTATTTCATATTAAGTTTTTAAAAAACAAACCATTGCATAATAAAAATAATAAAGACCGTTAGGATTCTAAGGGCAGCGAGTTTTTAAAAGCAGAATAAGCTTGGAAGAATCACTCTTAAAAATATGCTAGTCATTTCTAGAACAACTATATTTTTTAATGAACAATAATGAAAGCCTACTGAAGTGTAATAGCATGAATTTCCTCAGTAACACTCAGGGCTTAAGATCAAAGCATTGTAAAGAAAGCAACAGAGTGTCAAGTAAATCGAGAATGTTAAGGAAGAAGTAAGGTTGTTTTTCATTTTCTGGAATTCTTGACCAAGAATGGATAGTAAGATAAGTGAAAGAGGAGGAGAGATAATGATTTGAAGTAACTAGAATGGACTGGTTAATTTAAGTTTACTGAGATAAGATTTTGAACTATTGTAGACAAAATAGTTCTCTTTATGGGAAGGTGTGAAGAACAATGTGAGACTTAGAAAGTAGAGTAACCATAGAGATGGCTGTCACTGGAGTTGCAAAAGTGAGTATGTGTGAGTGTTTCTGCATGTGCATGGAATGGGGAAGGATAAAAACATATTTTTCTGGGTATAAAAATAGAATTCTTCATTTGCTTTTTGTTTCGTTCTGCCCTTGTCATAGTATCTAATCTATAAAATTAAGAGAATGAACAAAAGTCCTTTGGGAATTTTTGCATCTAGGCATTAGCTCTAATTTAGTCTACTGAAATAAGCCATAAAATGCAAGTGCTTGCTGGTTCACCCAGGTGGTCCCTAGTGTTACTGTAGAAAGTTAGAAACTACACAAATACAACTCTTGCCTTCTGCAGCCAGGATAATCTGGAGTTTATATACATCTCTAGAGGATTTGGAAATTTTAGAACTTCTACTGGATTAAAGTTGAGGATCTGGTGCTCTGGGAAAACATGTAATCTATATCAAAGTCATTAACATAATAACAATTGTTTTGGACTGATTTACTTACATGACTTCATTAAATTCTTCCACAAACCCTACAGCATTGCCCACAACATAAAAAACTCAGAACAGATTAATTACTCACTCAAGGTCGCACAGTGATAAAGCCGTTTTTAAATTGAAAGGTCAGTCAGTATTTATGCTCTTAATTACAACACTCTACTGTTTCAATCAACTCTGACTATAGGATAAGAGCTGAGATTCAGGAAATATATTTTGAAGAAAGACCATCATCTCTATATTCACACAGATTAGGTCCAAATCCTTAATTCCATTTATACTAACTGGGTCATCATAAGTAAGCTTACAAATTGATTCATCCTTTCATTATTTATTTATTTCTTCACTCATTTATATATCCATCCCATAATTCATATTGTTCATGTAGATAATGATAGCTATTGAGAATCTACTGTTTACCAACACTATGCTTAAACACTTTGAACATCAGTTGATTATTTCAGTCAACAACGTGGGAATGCTGATATCTATTTCACAGTGTTTCGTAAGGATTAAATAATCAAACATAAAAATATAGCTAGTATTGTATCTAGCCTATGGCGTACACTCAATAAAAGGTAAATATTTTTAAGTTATTATTATTACGTGGTACACTCATTTGCATTATTTTATACTGTGTATCTGATGAAATGGCTAAAAGAACATTTTTAAGCCTGCCTAGGAAATTTCTTTATTCTGACCCATTGGAAAGGAAATAAGAGTATATAGAAATATAAATTGCCAGAGGAAAATCCCAAATAGAGGATGAAAATGTCCAAACTCAGTATACTTAGATTTAGTACAGATGAAAATTATTTATCTCAAATCCAGAGGTATATGATATTATAAAATCATCTTTAAAACCAATAATCAAAGTTCCAGAAAATTTTCTATGGGAGAAGTTTCAGTAGTGATAGAAATGAACAGTTTATGGAAAACATTCATGTTAGAAGGTGAGCTTATCATAGAATATTTGAAAGCCCTTAAGAGTGCATATTTTGTTTTTTCAGAAGTAAAATAAAGATTAATGAACAGTATATAAATAACTTATATTTCATAAATTAAAAATACTGGATATATTAAAACATTTCTATGTAGCATCTTATATTAAAACTCTTCAAGGTAAGTGCCAAAGGGAGATATATATATATATATATATATGTGTGTGTGTATATATATATATGTTACATATATATATATGTAACATATATATATATGTATGTCACTATTTTCTTAAATCTTCTTGATTGTGTAGTATCTCATTTACAGGATTAGTAAAAGTTTCAAATTTTTAAACTCAAATTCCCTTAGTTAATTCTATGTTGTTACTCAAAATGACTTTTTATTAGAGGATAGACTATCTAAATTCTCACGTATAGAATACAATATTTCACGTAAATACCTTTATGTAAGAATATAAAGGAGAATTATGTGGCTGGGAAACAATGTTTTTGGTTTAAATTAATCAGTACAATTTTTATGTCAGTCTGATCAAGGTAGAGACTCTCTTTAGGGATTATTGACAACTACACAGCCAAGCAAGAAACAATAATATTCATTAGTTGTTATTTAGCTATATATAAATATCAGGAACGACCTCTAACTCTTTGTGTCACCCATTAGGTAACCTCCATATTCTGAAATTTTTGTCAATAAGCCTAGATCCAGGGACTGTAGATCTGGTAGAAAAACAAAACAGTTACCTTGAACATCTTTTGACTTCTTTATTCTCTGCAGTGCATTGGTGTTCATGTCTTACAAGACACAAGTAAAGTTCAGGGGTCCATTTCAGGATGTTTGTAATAAGGAAATGGAACATTCAGGTTGTTCCATTTCCTTATTACAAAAATCATCTTATTTGTTTAGTACTTCACTAATAAACTCTAATCCCTCCTTCTCAGTCCTTCCCTTCTTCTCATGGAGAGTATTTTTGATTGAATGTTAGAAGGTTTGGGGTTATAAACATCTATATTTATTTTAAAAAATAATTATCAAAAATAATTATTAATCATCAATAATCTCACAATAGTAAGATTTGCTTATCTCCAAAAAAGAAAGTTATTTTTTACAATCCAAACCACAGGTTTTTTCATGATGAAAACATTATCACTTATGACTATCCATAAATCTGTCATTTCCACTTTTTATGTTTATGATACATTTTCTGTGATAAAGGACTTCTCTTCAATTCTAGCAATATACTTAAATTCACCACTATTCTAATTTTCTATGTTTGTTCAGTATTCAATGTTAAATTCTCCAGTAACTGATTCCAATAATACTTGTACAAAAACTTCTTAGACTACAATGTATATTTTCCCTAAATGCCCAGAAATTGCTGCAAATAATCATACAAACAATCCAAATGAAACTCTTCATTCCAGTTATTGAAACACATTGCACATGGATAACTTGACAATAATTGGCATGTATGCTATCAATCTCTCTCGGCTGTTTGATAATTACTGAGGTTCTGTCTATAAGAACAGCAAAAATATAATTTTAGAATCTTATACCTTTTTTGAAGACAACAATACAAAAATACCATTTGAAGTATAGCTGTAACTTTGTATTTGATTCTAACATTGGTGTTGGGAAGGGAGAATAACGTAAGTTTAGGTTTACATATTTTAGTGAAAGGAGAACTTGATTGGAAATGCTGTTACCAACCATGACCCAGTGAAGTGTTTACAAGAGTAATTTTTACTGTAGAAAGACTCTAGAGTGTTGAAACTGAAACACTGAAACTGAATCATTCACAAAGCCATGCCAGGTATTATTTCTATCAGATGCTGATTAATGCATACATTTTATTTAGAGGAAGTTACTACTGAGTTATTAAAATGGGAGACTGTCAGTTTCAGAGTGATTGATGTCTAGAATGGAAAAGATTTACGAGTTAGGTTTGAAGAAGTATCTAAAACATTTCTAGTGTGGATTTTTCAAGTGTAAATATCTAAAACAAATAATTTGTTTATTTTATTATCTAACCAAACTTGCAATGAATGCCCACTATAACCAAGCCCCTGAGCTAGGTACTGTGATCTGTCCTGAGATAGTTACAGTTTCTCAGCTGAATGAGTTATGGACCATGCTCTCAGGTATCTGAAGAAAATTATATGACTATGTCAAATATTAATAAAATAAATACTATAAGGAAAGTGGACTACTAGCTGTTAAAATTAATGAAACAATCATTCTTGGATCAACTGCCACTTGAGCTTACTCCTCTAAAATTTAGTCTTTTAGAATTTAGACACATAGAGCCAATGCAAGAAAGGTATTACTAGACAAAGGAAGGTACAAAATTAAAGAAACATCTGGCTGTAATATGATCCTAGCACACTGTTGCTTTTGGTATGCGAGATAAGTAAAGGTTGAATTTAGAGAATAGGATGATTGGATGACATGGCGTAGTAAAATCATTAAGAGACCTGAATGACAAGCCCAGAAGTTTAGGTTTTACTTCATTGATAGTGGATAGCACCTAGAGTTCTATGAGCAGAAGAACATCTAGGTTTTCTAGAGTAGAAAATACAGTGAAAATACTCAGAAAGGGAAAAACAAATACAGTCCCTTTCTGAGTTTTTAAGATGGCCCTGGGGCTGCTTTAGTATATAAAGTAAAATGCTAGTATGTCAACATTTTCAATAGAATCATTAGGGTCTGGCCTGGCCTGGTGTGCTGGCTCAGGCCTGTAACCCTAGCACTTTGGGAGGCTGAGGTTGGTGGATTGTTTGAGCCCAGGAGTTTGTGAACAGCCTGAGCATCATGGTGAAACCATGTCTCTACAAAAAATGCAAAAATTAGACGGGTGTGGTGGTACACACCTGTAGTCCCAGCTACTCCAGGACACTGAGGCAGCAGGATCGCTGGAACCCAAGAGGTCAAGGCTTCAGTGAGCCATGATCATGCCACTGCATTCCAGCCTGGGTGCCAGAGTGAGACCTTGTCTGAAAAAAAAAAAAGAATCATTAAGGCTTCACAAATACTTTTCGGCCAAATTAAAATTGAGTTGACTTAGAATTGCATAGCTCTTTTGTGAGAATTTCTTTTTTAAAAATAAGACCTTAATAAAAGTAGATACAAACAGAATGCCTCTAGATAATAAGACTTACTGAATAGAACATATTTAAATAATAGGACTTATTTTAATTTGCATTCATATGTGAAATTGATACCATGCATATGCAAATTTTGAAGGAGCTGACTTTAAAAATTTAGGGAAATAAAGGCAAAATGCAGACCCCAATTCTTTTTACATTTCAGTCTGTAAGCTCTAAAGTGATTTAAGTACCTCGGCTGATAAGTCAAAGTTGATATAAAAATATTAAACATTTCCTTATTTTCTCAGTCTGAGTTCTGAAGCTAAACTATATAAGTCATGGCTTCAAACTGAGAAGGAAATGTCCAGTTTGCCTCTAAACATAACTGAAATGTACATGGCTTCAACCCTGTCAAGTGCTTGCTTTCTGGCATTGGAAATAAGCCAGATGGCCACCTAGCATCATCAGCATCCCATGACGATGAACAACTGAAAATTTGCTGGGTGATCAAACATAATTTAAAGTCTTCTAACCTTAGAAATTCAAGATAGATATTATCGTGATAGAGTCAATCAATCATTTTTTAAAAGCATAATTACCTGCTTTGTCCCCAACCTTCTTCCCACTGTGACCAAATAAATAATTTACGTGGCACAAGTATAAAGTCCTTCTGCATGTCTCAGGTATTAAAAAATAGGGCAAAAAAAAAAAAACCTTCATTACATATCTCAAATGAGAAAAATACCATCCAGGGCATAGGCAGGCAGATAAAATAGAAACTTGTATGGCTCAGTGAAAAAGACTAGATATTGCCACATATAGAAGTATTAAAAATCTCTGAGGTCCCTAAATATACAGGCAATTGAGTTTTCAAAAGGTGTCAAGATAATTTAATGTGGAAAAGGTAGTCTTTTAAATAAATGGTATTGAAATTGGATATCCATATCCAAAAAAACTTTTTTCTCACACTACAAATATGTATAAAAATGAAGTATATTGTGTACTTAAATTTATGAGCTAAAACCATGTAACATCTAGAACAAAAAATAGAAGAAAATCCTTGCGACTTCGGATTAGGCAAATATTTATTCAATAGGATACAAAAAGCATAAAGCATAACAACCAAAGAACAAGCAAAAAACTGTAGGTTCAGGTGGCAATAGGTTTAGTATTCCTTCAGAGATTCATTATAGCTTTTGTTTTTCTATATAGTTTTGATGAAACTTTCTATTTTGCTAAACTATGAGATCTGCCAATGCAGAAAATTTTTATTTTGATACTTTAATATCTAATATAGTATTCCTCACTTTAAAATGCTTAGTAAATGTTGACTAAGAAAAAAAACAAATAGACTAAATTTTTCTCCATTTCTTTTATTGCTGTTACTATAGAACACTGACGTATAATAAAATTCATGTATACATGTGTATTTATTTACCTATAGCCATGTCTAATCATGGGTGTCCCATCGAAAAGAGCTAAGGCATTAATTTCTCTTTATGGAATATACAAAGACCTCTTCCTAAACACATATTTCAGCTTTCATGACCTTATAATAGTATAACAAATTTGTTTTTTGTTTGTTTGTTTGTTTTGAGACTGAGTCTCACTCTGTCGCCCAGGCTGGAGTGCAGTGGCACAATCTCGGCTCACTGCAACCTCTGCCTCCTGGGTTCAAGCGATTCTCCTGCCTCAGCCTCCCGAGTAACTGGATTACAGGTGCACACACATACACAGCTAATTTTTGTATTTTTAGTAGAGACGGGGTTTCACCATGTTGGCCAGGCTGATCTTGAACTCGTGACCTAGTGATCTGCCCGCCTCAGCCTCCCAAAGTGTTGGGATTACAGGCATGAGCCACCACACCTTGCCAACAAAATTTTTAGTAAACAACTTTTTATATTTATGAAGTTTAATGTCTTTAACCAAGCAGAAAAAAATATTAGTGAATATGCTCCACATGAGCAAGTACACAGAAATGATTTTTTTTTTGGCTCTACCACCTTATATATGCATAGACTTTCATTGCAAGAAAAGTATGCTCTTCACTACCGAGATAACCAGGCCTCCTAAGTCCAGAGTAGTTGAGGTTGTAATATTGTGACAAAATCTGTTTTCCTGTAGGAGGCATTAGTAATAATTCCCTTTCCCTTTAATCCACTTAGTCATAATAGTAAAATTCATTATTATCCTTATTTTTTTTTGTGTAGACCTCAAGAGCAGCAAGAAACATGTATATTCCTGGGAGAAGAAAGGTTACCAAGATGTTTGCCCTCGCATTTCTTTCTCAGAAGTCACCCCACTGCAGAGAATCATAGCAAACACCCACACTACTCTTTGTGTAGAGTTGTCTCAAAACACACTTTAGTTTAAAATATGCACACATTCTTGGAAAATATCACAGGAGGTGTCAGGAAAAGAGAAGGAAAGAGCTCTAGAGATGGGTAAATTATTTCTTTTGCAAAGTTATTAAATTATTAAAGTTTCATGGTGTGCTATTGCAAGAGCAAACTTGTCCCTGTAAACTGGATTAGAGGGATGTCACCTTCAAGTCTCCTCTCATTATTATTTGATGTGTGTTGAACACCAACAGGGAACTTTGATAGCTTTTAGGATCTCTCCGAATCATCAGTATTAAAGATGAAGAGGAGAAGAAAACACACAGAACAAAACTAGCAGGTCCTCTAGTCCCTAGAGGAGTTGGTTTGGCTCCTACTAAAGATTTGAAGGAACAGGCCTAGTGTGTATAATACATAAGGAGGCACTCTGGAGTGACTTATTCTTGAACTAACATCTGATACTAATAATCTAAGTGCCTGTTCAGAAAAAATGCACTTCTTTAGAAAACTATGTGCCCCATGACAATGTCACTTTCTAATTCCACCTGTCTATTACACTTCTCCTTATAGTTAAAGCCATTTGACTCCCAGATCAAGGTCTTCCCCTAAAATTCTTAGTAGTGTTATTATTTACCAACTATCTATAGAAGAAAAATTGCCTTCTCTTCTGTATTATTTTCAACTTGATATTGTACTAGACTACCGGCCCATACCTTTTTTTTTTTTTTTTTTTTTTTGAGACGAAGTCCCACTCTGTCACCCAGGCTGGAGTGCAGTGGGCGATCTATGCTCACTGCAAGCTCCGCCTCCTGGGTTCACACCATTCTCCTGCCTCAGCCTCCTGAGTAGCTGGGACTACAGGTGCCTGCTACCACGCCCGGCTAATTTTTTTGTATTTTTTAGTGGAGACGGGGTTTCACCGTGTTAGCCAGGATGGTCTCGATCTCCTGATCTTCTGATCCGCCCACCTCGGCCTCCCAAAGTGCTGGGATTACAGGCTTGTGCCACCGCGCCCAGCCTACTACCAGCCCATACTTGTTGTACACTCTCTACCTTGCACATTCTGTTTGTGATATTAAAATCCCAGTAACATCTCTTCCTTTCCAGGATATATATATATAAATATGCATAATTATATATATAGTGTGTGTGTGTGTGCGCGCCTGTGTGTGGATGTGCGTGTGTGTGATTTTTTTTCCTTAACATAAATGAAGGTTAGAGATTACCACCAGATACACTGGTCTTTCTTTGTTTCAAACATATTATGCTTATTTTTACCTGTTTCTTCATAGGCTCCTCTTTTTACAAAACTTTGAATATATCATTCCTTCTTATTTTATGAGTTTCAACTTAGCTGCCATATCCTCAGAGAAGCTTTCCACACTCAACCAATCTAAAGGTAGATACTCTACCTAGTTGCTCTCTGTAGCATAGCATCAACTTTTTTTCCCATCATAGCACATATGATTGTCTGATACTATATATGTTTGTATGATTTTCTCTTCTCCACCAACCCCTTGTCAGTACAATGTCATCTCTAAAAGTAGGGCTCTCATCAGTCTGTTCATATCTGTTAACTCTCGTGTCTACAAAGGTGCCTACCATCTAATGAGCATTTTATAAATATTGATTGGATAAAAAGCAATAAGGACCCTGTGGAAATTGGCTCTCATCTTAATCCCACCATTTGTGGGAAATTTCACATCTGCCTCAGGTAAAGAAAATACATCCACTTATAAAATAACTATTTAAGAAGTCCTTAGTCTGCAAGAAGCACTATGGAGCTTAAAAAAAAAATACAACATCTACACATTCTGCATTTTCTCAGGACCCTACAGTCTAATTGAGAAGATGAGTTATGATAATACATGACTGTATCATAATGTGTTAAAAAAATACAAATAGAGTCCATGGACTTCAGGAGTAGTGAATCTACCTATAGTTGGAGAAATCAGAGAGGACTTATGCATGGAAGCAAAAGATATACTTAAAGACAGCGAAAAGGAGATTATAGAGATAATAAGGACAGAGGAAAGAGGTTACCTGGTCAGATAGGCGTACCAGGCCTGAAAAGGAGGTATCTAGAAAGCTTACATAGGAAGAACATGAAAGCTGTTGAAAAGCAGAATAAAAAGTCAGACTTTAATCTTCAGACCAGTCTTTCTTAAAACAGATCCCTAGATTTACTGGGTATAAGAGGAGCCAAATATGAAAAGCAATTCTACACTACTGGTGAGCAAACTAGGGCCTACAGATTAACTCTGCCTGTAAATAAGGTTTTGCTGGAATATAACCCACACCCATTAGTTTAGATATTGTTTATAGCTTTTCACTGCAGTGGTGTATTTGACCAGCTGTAACAGAGGCAGTATATATCAGAAAAATACAATATTTACCACCTGGTCCTTTACAGAGACTGCCTGCTGGCTTTTGGTATAGGTAATGGTAAACCACTTATTATTTTTCAAAAAAAGTAAAACAAATTATTATAGTATTTTGGAGAATTTAATTTAACAGAAACATTTTACGTGAGATAAAATAGATGCATTCCAGAAGCAAGGTAACAGGTTACTAAGAAATGAAAAAGTCTAAGAAAATATTACAAGGATTTGGAAGATGGTCGTAGCAATGAAATGCAAGAAGGGACTAGATATAAGAAATGTTCTAACAATGAACTGTATAGCAAATACATAATAACATAAAGAAAATCAAAGTTGATTGAGACCTAGAACTTCAGTTACTAAGAAGCTAACTGATGGTAGACAAAATAGGGAACCCCAAATTAGAGATATATATGGGGGGAAGCATATATTGAGTATGTGTGATTAAAACTTTTAGCAGACCGTTCTGTGGACACATCCAATGGACTTTCACTTGAACTGAAAAACTGAGGCCAGGTGCAGTGGCTCATGCCTGTAATCCCAGCACTTTAGGAGGCTGAGGCGGGAGGATCACCTGAGGTCAGGAGTTCAAGAAGAGCCTGGCCAACATGGCTCAACCCCGTCTCTACTAAAAATACAAAAAAATTAGCTGGACATGGTGGCGTGCGCCTGTAGTCTCACCTACTCGGGAGGTTGAGGCAAGAGAACCGCTTGAACCCGGTCAGCGGAGGTTTACAGTGATCTGAGATCGCACCACTGCACTCCAGCCTGGGTGACAGAGCGAGACTCCATCTCTACAAAAAAAAAGAAAAAAAAAAATTGAAGTCAGCAATGGAAGTGAATGAACCATAGTTTACTTTGGTGTATTAGTTATAACTCTGGGAGTTGCTAAGGAGGAAGAAGTAATAGGGAAATAGGAGAGCCAAATGTGGAAAGTAAAATTAAGTTTTAAAATGGAGTGGGGTGAGAAAAGAATGCTGAGACAGACACCTATACTTATCCATCACTCTTTAATTTACCATCTGAATCATGGGTCTTTTTCTTTTCTTTTTTCTTTTTTTTCCAACAACGTCTCACTCTGTTTCCCAGGTCCAGGCTGGAGTGCTGTGGCGTGATCATGGCCTACTACAGCCTTGGTCTCCTGAGCTCAATCGATCCTCCCATCTCGGCCTGCTGAATAACTAGTACTACATACGTGTGTCACCACACTCAACTAATTTTTTTTTTTTTTTTTTTTTGAGAGATGGTGTTACTTTGCTGCCTAGGCTGGTCTGGAACTCCTGGCCTCAAGTGATTCTCCTGCCTCAACCTTCCAAAGTGCTGAGATTACAGGCATGCACCATCACTCCCAGCCCCTGAATAGTGGATCTTTTTATTTCTTCACACACTTCTAGGAGTTCATGTAGCTTATACCATGGCGGAAATAAAAGACTAAACTGAAAATCAATTCAAGACATTGGTATCAGGAAAAAATACTTTGGCTCTAAAATATGCAAGGAACAGTTTTTCATCTTATACTCAAATAAGCAGGTGACTTTCCTGTACACAAGGAACAGAATATACTGTATTTCAACATAGCACAAAAATGGAATGAAGCTAAAGCACATAGCACTGAAAGAAGAGAAAAACGTCTTTCCAGATTTAGCAAATAACCAGTAGATATTTTATGAAACATATTGAAGAAGGAAGATCTTCATATAAATTCACAGTAAATAAAAGAGTCAGAGCCTTCCTCAAATAGAATTAGTGCCCTGACAAAAAGGAACAAACACTTCCATTGTGGACTAAATGCTACAAAAACAATATGCAGAGCAAATTAGTGGAATCTGGAAAATATGAATACTGAGCCAGAAAAACATCACATAACAACAACAAAAAATTCCCTTTAACAACGTCGGTTATATTCTTATTGGCTCATTAAAGGAAAGGGACTAGAACTTTATATTAACAGTTGTTTAGTATTTATAAATAGTTAAATATATGTATAATCAATTCTAGAATTACATTTCTGTGGTCCTCATACCTCGGTATGGATTTACTTGCCATCAGTTAAGCTTTCAGTTACCTTATATAGGTGTAAATCAAAGAAACCCGCTAGTCAGTAAAATATAGCTGAATGCAATGGATGAATCCAAACTGACGATTTTGGTGAAGACATCATGCTTAAGGTGTGAACCCGATAAGTAGCACCCTCTCAGAACACAGTCTTAATGAGGATCGTTTTTCTCTGTGTATCCTGTATGTTGCATTGGCACAGTCCTTCTTTCTCACCTACATACTCAATTACACAAAGAATTCTCCACAAAGAGTGCTTAGTAATTTGAATGTTAGGAACTGCAAAAAATATAATTGTGCTCATCAGACTAGTCATCTATAATTATAAGAAAATGCATTTGCTATGTGTTTTATCTTTTTTTTTTTTTGCGGGGGGAGGGTGTCGGGAGGAGACAAGGTCTTGCTCTGTCACTCAGGCTGGCATGCAGTGGTGCAATCACAGCTCACTTCAGCCTCCACCTCCCAGGCTCAAGTAATCCTTGCACCTCAGCCATATACTACCATGCCGAGCTAATTTTTCCTTTTTTTGATTTCCAGGGTTGGTCTTTAACTCTTGGGCTCAAGAAATCCTCCCACCTAGGCCTCCCAAAGTGCTGGGATTACGGGTGTGAGGCACCACGCTTGGCCTGTTTTTACCTTTATTTTATTTTATTTTTTTATAGAGATGAGGTCTCACTATGTTGCCCAGGCTGGTCTCAAACACCTGAGCTCAAGTGATCCTCTCGCCACAGCCTCCCAAAGTGCTGGGATTACAAGCGTGAACCACTGTGCCTAGCCTTGTTTTTACCTTTTATATTCATGTTTCAATTGATTCTTAAACCAACATCACAAAGCATTAGTGAAATTATTACTTTTCTATTTTGGAAAATAATGTGTGTTAGAAGGTTAAGAGCTAGCCAAAGGCCACACACAAATGATAGCCTAAATTTTTGTTTCAGTGTCCTTTGAGGTGTATTTGGGTGGTCATTTGTTTTTCTCATATTTTCATACATATCCTAACCATGTGTGGCACATTTTTCTTATATATATGTCTCATATATATATAATATATATTATATGTATATATTATATATAATATTATATATAATATAATATAATTATATTATATATATATGTCAGTACGTCACCTCTCAAGGGTATAAAGCCATGCAAATACATATATGTTCATAGGTCATGCAGTCATGCTGATTCTCTGGAGAAAAATGACAATAGTAACCATTGTAAGTATTGTAAACCTAAACACTTAAGCTTGAGAAGATTAGGTAAATAATTTAATAAGGAGATGAAATATACCCTTTCTATACTCCCATTGACCATAATTAGCTCAGAGTGGAAAGATGTTGCCAACACACTAGGTGTGGACCATAGTGTCCAGAAATTTAACCCTGTCAGTAGAATTATCTGACCTATTAATTTTGATGCAAAGGTATTTGTGTGTACATTCAATAAAATTGTTATGATAGCTGTGAAAGCAGTAGTTTTTAGGGAAATTAAAAAAAAAAGACGGGAGGGTAAATGGAAGGAGTAAAATACATACACTTCTAATTGTGGGTATTTTCAAGGCAAGTAAAATCATCAGTATTTTCCTTCCATTTCATTACTCAGCCCAAATGCCATCAAGCTAAGTTGAGTGGGAATTGCATACAGGAATTACCATGGCAACCAGCTTAAAAATTTGTTCCCCTGCTGAGAATTTAGCTCACTGGATAATACTTTGTTTTTACCTTTGGAAAATTACATGGGAGTTAATTTTGGAAACATGTATAAGCCATCTCTAAGTTCAAGCCATTACTTGGGTTAGTTTTCCTAGGGGTAAAGGATATTAGTAGTGGTTTGTCCCTTGCAAAATAATATACAGGAATTCAAAGAAGGTAGATATTCAGTCTATTATGACTTCTAAGGCACCAATGTCTAGACACTCTCCTAGGTGTGATTTGGTCATTTATTGAAGGTCTGGTGTGAGCAAGAACACAGATAATCATGACATCAGAGAGAATGAGACGGCCTTCTGTTTCCAGTGATATGGCAGACTAGACATTCCGGAACACCTTCTTACTGCAGTCATCTAAAACACTGGGAAAATATTAAAAATAAAACTTCTTAAAAACTATGTTGATGAGGAATTTTACTTGCGGTTAGACTAATAATTCCATTGTAACAACAACAACAAAACAGGACAAAACAAACAAAAGCATATAAATACACAACCTGATGCCTCTACCCATTTCAGCTTTTGGAGTCTAATATGTAAGTAATACTTGAATTGACAGGGGATTGTATAAATATTATGCCTGATTATTTACTTCATGTCTGCAGTTAATTTAAAAAGAAAGACAAATATAATATTATAGCAGTAATACAGGAGGTTTACTAGCTATGTCAGTTGAATTCAGTAAAAAGCTCCAATCTTGTCAGGGAATGTGTTGCTTAGGGTGTAGGAAAAGAAATTCAGTTGTATGAATTAGAAGATCTTGTGAGGTGGTGGAGTGTGGTCAAAATTTGGACATCTGTATAGCAAACACATGCTTACCTCAGAGATCATAGAGGTTTGGATGAAAACTAAGAAAAGTTTATATCTATTAATATGCCACATGTCATACATATGACTTTTATTAAATTTAGGGTTAGATATAACAGTACAAGGATGAGCAACAGAAACCAAAAGTCTTGATAAAAAACAGTTTTGTGACCTTCCACTCCTCTATTTCTCACCCAAGAAAGTTTCTTGATTCAATTTGTAAACCAGAGATTATTGCTAGTTCACTCCTCCAAAAGGACATAATCTTATTAAACAGAAATTTACACCTCTGCAAGTTGTTTTGCTTTGGAGCTTACATTATTTCATGTAATTTCCTGAGCCTATAAAGAAAGAGCACACTGGGAAAGGCAAAGTATTTTGGAGCAATTAATAAACATACAGATAATTAATTTGTATTAAAATGGGCTAATTTATCAATCTTATGGAGATCTGATGTTTTACTCTGCATAGACTTATTCAATATTGAACGTATATGAGATAGCTGTTTAAAAAGAAAGGAAGAAAGAAAAGGAAAGGAAGCTTTAGAGAAATAAGGAGATTTATGTAAATCAAACTAAGCATTAATCCCAAGCGTCAAACCAGGATTATTTAAAATGTGACATTGATTAACATATTATAATGGATTTTATAAATCTTTAACTTGAGTGAAAACAAAGTTTGGACACATTAAGCATAAAAGACATTCTGAAGAGTTTCAGTAGCTCTTTGGAATTCCTACATTCTTCACAAGAGTAATGACATTTAACTATTCCTGACCACTGCGGGTACAGTTACTACAATCCAAGGACAACAGCTGGACCGATATGTGATGCAAGTCATCCTCTACCCAGATTGGTTCCAATAAACATTTGTGAATTCATTTTTGAAGAAAGTGTGTCATTGTTTATGGAATTAAAACTTCAGATAAAGGTAGATTTTGGAACTATGAAAATAAAATCAAAGGTAATTTTTTTGAAATGATGAAATTAAACAAAGATGTTTCCTACTAAGAGCATTATAAAAATGGTTCTCTTAAACTAGTTAGTATGTCAATTGGAAAGTATGCAAAATTGCTAGGAAAATCTGATTTATATGTTTATTTGATTTATTATCTTTATTCATAATCTTACTTTTAGAAATATTTTGTATAATAATTCAAAAATACCCAGTCTTTTTCTCAATGTATAGTTTAATTTTCAGATTAGATTTATGTTTAAGTCTTCTAAATTTAGAGCCTTCTAAATTTCCTTGTGATCATACAGCCCAGATGTAGAGAGTCAACTTCTTTTGAAATCATAAATCCTTTCATTGTAAAAGATTAATTCTGATTTATTTTTATATATCTTTGAAGCACTGGTATATACTGTTTTTTATTCAATCATTTATTCATTCAAAAAAATCTTCCCTAAGTGTGTACTAGATTAAGCCTTCATGTTTCTTTTTGTGAGAGATCAAAGACTTGGTAATCCTTACCTTCAAGGAATTTATTTAAATAAAAAATATAGTACAGATAGAACAAACTAGCTGAATTTGAATCAGTTCAAAATTCTTTAATGAAGTACAATTTTGTGATATGATCATATTAATAATTAGTGGAAAGGGAATGGAATATATTTAACATGCTAAATTTTGTATGTACTCAAAGCATTAGAATGGCTGAAGGCTCTGGAAGCTTACCATTTGGATATTTCAAGTTAACATGACCTCAGCTGACAGTAACATAAACTTCTAACCCTGTCATTTCATGTGTAATTTTACATGGTTAAAATTCTACAACGTATGCATTGTTTTATACTTATTCATTTATATAAACAAACAACACATCTATGTTACTCAGAGCAAAATACATATTTTGACTTTTTAAGTCAAATTTAAATTTATGCCTTCTAAAGATATAAATAAAAATACAAGGATACAGAAAACGTTTTCATATTTTCTTTGATGAGATAATAAAAATTGTGTTTCACTTTGTACCTACTAAGTACACTAAATAAAGGAGAGCTATGTACTTTAATTTGTAGGTTATTAAATTAGCTTGTTGGTCTCCACATTGTCAAAATTCACTTAAGTTCATTACCAAATTTCTATTTAATTTTGTGATACAGCTTCTCTCAGATTTACATTAACTGATGACCTCAAGATCAGTTATGGTTTTAGGCCAGAAAAGAGAAAATAGAAGACTAATAAAACATGCATATAAATAAATTTGTTTTCCTTCTGAAAAATCTCCGAATAAAAACATGGACTCAATATTTTTTATGAAGAAACAAATTCTTCTCTGTTAAGAAGTTATTGAGTTAAAAACTCTTTACACAGAATCTAGATATTTGCAGAATGAAAAGTTGGTGTAGGGGAAAGAGAACTGGTCTCAGAATTAGAACTAATCTAAATGCATAATTTAGTTCTGCCATTACCAACCATTCACGTCAGAAACAATTATAGTTCTCTCAGATTCTTATCTTTGTCCAAGTAATTTTCCTGGCAAGTTTCTGAAATTGACTCTAGTGTGCCTTCAGCAGACATGAGTCCAAGAAGTCACAGTCTAAGTGGTAAATGGGAGGCAGACAAAAGAGTCATTAGAAGACATGCACAGCAAGAACCACAGCCAAAGTCAGGGACAATCCTTACTAGCACTGCCAAAGCAGTGAATTGTTTTCATTTGTCATGTTCTTGCACCAGTTGCACAAGATGTAGAGCACATATAATTTACCAAGTCTGGGGCATGTGAGATAAAGAATCTCCATACTACTTTCCATGGGACTACATAAAATGGGAGGTTGTCCAAAAAGGAGATCTGAGAGCTCCTAGGAAGATACACCTTAGAATTAGAGTTTCCTCATCAGTAAAATCACATTTGTAATATTTACTTAAGAGTATTAGAGATAATGGTACAAATGAACACACTTTTTGGTTAAATTTGGTTGTATCTGCATCAGTTAATGAAAAAAATGAGAGAATATTTTAAATTTGATAACAAAGAAATAGTCGCTGTATGCAAGGAACATATGGAAGGCAAAAAACGATGAATAACATGCGCTAGAGTCCGGTCTTCTCTCTGGTGTGTAGGCTTTGCTTTAAATCAAAGGAAAATAAAGAAGATGCAAATCCAGGGAGAACTGATTATTGTAGCACACTATGCTAGATCTTAAGATCTTGTGTCAAGCTATTTATTATTAATGAGGCTTTTTTCTTCCAAAGCAAACTTGAGTATCACTCTTGATCAAATGGAAAGAGAATGTCAAAAGTACACAAGTTCACCATTAGAAAAAGAGAGTCTACTGGCACATAGAAAGTCTATTTTGCTTGACAATGGCAAAATATATAATCTTATTACAGAGAATGAAATCTGCTTGTTTGTCTCAGAGCTTATATTTATGTGGTCACTGCTTGACTCTGAAGCCATTTCTTGAACTCACTGAAGATCTCAAGATGGAATAAATGAACCAACTGCTGAAGTATTGTAAAAGTAATTCAATGTTTAGTTAAATATATAACAGGCATGAAATTTGCATATATTCTCTAAAGATTTCTCAAAGATGTAACCATTTCAACCATGTTATACTATATTCCCATTCATTTAATTACTTTAGTATAGGAATATCATGTGGTAAGATGTTTGGAGTATTTTTTATAGATTATCTAATTGAATACTTTCAAATTAAATGAAAAGTGCATTGGAAATATTTAATTCTATTAAATCTTAGAGGTTGGAGAATATGCTGTTTTCAAAGATTGCTATTTTGTATGTTCATTTGGATACTCATTGCTTCACTGAATCCTAAGATCTTTTATTAGTTTTCTAATTCATTTTCTAGACTACAGTGTAATGTAAACACACTGAAACTGCTGAATAATATCTTGATATTATGATACGTAACAGTCAGGAGTATTGATACACATGAAGTTGACATTTAGCTTAGTATTTTTGTTAATATTCTTTCTCTATTGCACTTGCACTTTTGCTTTTATTGCTTCAGTAGAGATAAAAACAAGTGATAGGAATATGGCAGTTAAGAGGTTGTAAACATATGAGGCTGCAAATAATTTAATTGGATATAAGTGTCTAGAGACTTAATTTATCTTAAAATGTCCTTACTAAGTTAAATAGAAAAGTAAAATGCTTGGATCTGTTAAGAAAAAAAGAGCAACAAAATTAAACAATGAATGTCTTTTTAAGTTGTATATAATTAGATATTTCAACATTAATTATATTATGAAAAGCAAATCATGAAGTATCTTTTGGCTTGAATTTCAATTTGTCCAAGGGTCTTTCTTCGCTTCAAACCACAAGTTAATAGCAACATAGAAAAAAGCTGAGGTTGATCAATGCTGGACTCAAAAAACACATATAATGAATTTATATCTGCAAAATATAAGCCCAGTCTCTTTTACTAATAACCACAAATGATATGTAATCAATGTATAATAAAACCACTAAACAGATAATTAGCTTTGTGGTTTGAGGTATAACAAAAAAGTAGATTCTTGAAGCTTCTAATTGTCTTCCCAACTGGTATATATAACTTGGCATTTAGTATTCTGTAATGACACATTAGCTTCAATCTTGCTAGGCTCAAACTTAATTTTGATTTTTGAGTGGGGTAAAAAAACTAAGAAAAAATAACTCAATTGTTTGACGGAGCTTAATGCCAATTTTAATTAATGGTCCTAAAATAATATAAATAAAGTAAGTACAACAATGATCTATCAATACAAAATTAAAAATTAAAAAATATTAAAAGGAATATAAATAAGCCTTTGGATTGATGAATAAATCAATATTTAATATCAGTTACCTAATTTGTGTTCTGTATGTTGCACAATATTTTATGAGAAGAAAAAATGTATTTTTTAAATTACTATGTTTCTTCTTTGAGGTGGGGTAGGTGGAGGAACATGTTTCTATGTAGTTTCCCTAACACTAAGTTGGATTATATATTAAATTGACTATAATTCTACTTTTAAGATATATATTTGCAAGTCTAAATAAGGAAGTTTTATCATTGTGTGTCATGTTAAAGATCAAAAATCAATTCACTACTGTGGCAGGAAAAAACAAGAAAATAAACTATCATCCTTCTATTGATACTCTAATTTTAAGACTACTCATTTCACAATCTCTTCTTTGGGGATTTGCACTCATATAAGAAAACCTTGACAGAAGATCATATCTGAAGTAAAAACTTTCAAATTTAACATTTAATTGTAAGTTTCTAAATGTTTTCTTACTAATTACTAGTGATTATAGTGTTTCCTACTAACGATAGGATTCAACAAAACTGTTTCTTTTTTGTTAAAGAAGTTCGTAGTTATTCTGACTTGCTACAAACATTACTTGATGGTAGTACTCTCTTTATGCTCTGTAACATATGCATAATAAGAATCTAAACATAATTAAGTGAGGCTTATTAAGAATGTCTAAAATTGTGTTACATTTAGTTCTCTCCAGTCCATACTGGTTTTCAATGACATAGAGAAAAGTCAGTTTAAGTCAATATACTTAACTTAGAAAGAATCATTAGTGCAATCAGATAATCAGTATATCAAATAAACCAGTCATTCATTAAGCCTTTATTAAATACTGTGTACAAAATTTGTACATCTAGATAATTGCTCTTCTATAGAGCTGAACAAAACGCTCTACATTTTAAAGACTAGAGGTTAGAAACAGAAATTTAATTTGTATTATAATATAGTCTTACTATAAAAATGTATAATTGAAATATAAAAATTCTATGGCTATTATTAAATATTTATCATGAACTATTATTAGCCACTTAGAGGTTAGGCTTTATCAGAGAAATGAATGAAAGGAAATTATTAAATTTCTTCTTGAATATAATTAGGTACCTAGATTATATCTGCAAAGTCAAAATTCTAGAGTCTATGCAAGCTATTATCTAGGTAGCATTTATGGAAAATATCCTTAACCTTCAACATGTTTAAATTATCTAGGTTAGGTATGAAAGTATCCTAGAATTGCTGAAATCCTTTCTTTGTTCAATACATATCTATCAGTATGCTGACATGTATGGAGACTTTTGACTTCAGATGGACTGAAACAAAAATGAGCAGTTGTAATAAATATTACTTCCTTGATTAATAAGGCTGAGTACTCAAGTGCATTGGCACTACGAGATGCATCAAATATGAGACATGGCAAAATGGTAGGAAAGAAAAACAAACAAGCAAAATGGCATGAATCAAGGTGATAATAGTAAGTAGAGTACAGATTCCCCCAAGTGTTAAATAACAAGCTTCCTAGGCCTCCACTGAGAAATCTTCTTGAGAGAGACATTTTATGTCAGCCCAGACTTTCAATGAAACTATAACTCCAAGAGTTTCCTTTCCCAGATCCTTATGGCTCCTTATGCCATTTTTATTAATAATAGAAATAATCATAAATATTTTATTTATGGTAAGCTAGTACATTTTGGATCATTTAAATTCATTTATCATTGTATTATATATACATTATACTGATTTTATAGACAAGGGAACTGAAACTTAGAATGGTTTAGTAACTCACCTAAAGTCTCATTGCAATTAAGTTGTGGAGATAGAATTTGAACCCAGATACATATGGCTTCAGGGCTTCTGAGTTTTTACACACCACGTTATGTTTCCTCCTTTTACAAAGGGAGAGTCTCTATTATGTAGTAAGCTAATAGAGTTTGGAGCAGTGGTATCTAATCAGCTTTTTTCTCCTGTTTTCTTCCCTTATCTGCCTTGTAAGCATGCCAGGTCCTTTGTAAAATGTGATAAATTCTTGTAGCTTCTTGTTACATACTGAAGGAAAAAGCTAGGACTTTTTAGAGCAAAGTATATGAAAATTGCTGGAGGAATATGTGGCAAGATGTTAAGGAGGAGAGAAGTACAAACACTTGAAAAATCCTAGAATATAGATTAGCCATTTGGAATAAAAGGTAATAAGTAACAGATAAGATATATTAAAATGTTCCACAGGCTGGGCGCGGTGGCTCAAGCCTGTAATCCCAGCACTTTGGGAGGCCGAGGCAGGCGAATCATGAGGTCAGGAAATCAAGACCATCCTGGCTAACACAGTGAAACCCCGTCTCTACTAAAAATACAAAAAATTAGCTGGGCATGGTGGCGGGCGCCTGTAGTCCCAGCTACTTGGGATGCTGAGGCAGGAGAATGGCGTGAACCCGGGAGGCAGAGCTTGCAGTGAGCCGAGATCGCACCACTGCACTCCAGCCTGGGCGACAGAGTGAGACTCCATCTTAAAATTTTCCACGAAGACTTAGAAGATATTTAAGGGGTGCTGACTGAATTTAAGTTACATAATCATCTAATCACACATAGTACTTGCAATAATGTTTGGCACACAGCAAACATTATATATGTGTCAGCTACTGTTAATATTTATTGTTATCAATACTATTGTTTATATCCCTCCAGTCACCTAGGCTGTTGGATTTGATCTTTTTTAAAAAAAGTTTATGAAAGGGGTACCACAGGAAACTGGAAAGCATAGATGCTTATATTACACATCCAATATAATATGACCATTTTCCTCTACTAAACTGTCAAATTCTCAATTTAAATGAATTACGAATGTGTATCTCAATTGGAAATAAAAGCATAAAATGGATAAGAGAAATAATCTCAGTTAGAGGTGTAACCATACCTTTACTAAGCCTTGTGAAAATCAATAAATAAATATGTAAATAAACAAATACATTCTTGTAACCTCAGTTTCTGTTTCACAAGCTCATTGTAAATATTGATGGGATTAACTTCATAAAATCCTATTTATCCATATATTGATTTATTCATAAAAAGTATTTTATGGTGGACATTGTTTTAGAAACAAGAGACAAAATTATGAAAAATATAGACAATGTCTACCCTCTTGGAGCTTTTATTCTACTGTGGAGAAGATGGAGAATAAATAAAAAAAAATAAACAAACAATGTAATTACAAACTGTGATGGTGCTCAGAAGAAAATAAAACAGGTTTATCTGATAAAGAGTAATTAGAAAGCCACAGAAGGCACATCTAAGAATGTGGCATTTAAGCTGGGGCTTGAAGAATGAGTAAATGCCCAGAGAATAAAACAGAAAGTTCAAATGCAATATATACATATATGGCATATATATGGCATATATATATATATATATAGTCTCATCTCCCATGATGTTCCCTTCTTTTCAGCAGTAATAATTTTTCATTGTTTTCACTCAAGTATGTCAAATTCTATATATATGTTCTACATGTATATATAGAATTTGACATACTTGAGTGAAAACAATGAAAAATTATTACTGCTGAAAAGAAGGGAACATCATGGGAGATGGGACAAGAGATAGATTATGTAGAAGCATTGTACATGGTATGATATTTATTCTAAGTTTAAGTAGAGCCATTCAAGGGCTGAAGGAAGGCCATAGTGGGTAAGATATTTGATTTTCTTGAAGGAAAAAAAATGCCTTGAACAACATACTTCTAAATAACAAATGAATCAGAAAAGAAATCTCCAGAGAAATATTGAAAAGATTCTGAAGTTCATGCAATGAAAAGGTAACATCAAGATTTGTTGGATGAGGCAAAAAAGTGCTTGCAGGAAAATTTATAGCACTGAATGAATTCATTAGAAACGAAGAAAAATGTAAAATCAGTAATCTAAGCTTCCACTTCAGGAAACTAGAAAAAGAACAACAGATTAAATCCCAGCCTAACAAAAGAGAAGAAATAATAAAACTTAGAGCAGAAATCAATGGAATTAAAAACATAAAATCAACAGAAACAAATTCAACGAAACCAAATGCCGGTTCTTTAAAAAGTTGAATACCATCAATAAGCTTCTAGCCAAGCAAACTAGGAAAAATACAAGAGAGAAGAGACGGAAATTACTAATATTATAAATGAAACAGATGGCATTCATACAAATCCCATAAACATTAAAATGATTAAGTAATATTGGGTCTTCCTATCCATGAACAAGGACTATCTTGCCATTTATTTAGTTCTTCTTTTATATCTTTTATGAGAGTTTTGTAACTTTTCTAATATAGATCTTGTACCTATTTTGTTACTTTTTGGGTGCTAACATAATGGTAATGCATTTAAAATTTTAAATTAAACTTACCTGTTGTTGGTATACAAGAAAGTGATTGTCTTTTGTGTATTAGCCTTGTTTCCTGCAGCATGGCTGTAATTCAGATTTTCTACATAAATGATCATGTCATCTGCAAAGGTGGCTTTGCAGTTTGAGATCAGCCTGGCCAACATGGAGAAATCCCATCTCTACTAAAAAATACAAAAATTAGCCGGGCGTGGTGGCAGGCACCTGTAATCCCAGCTACTTGGGAGGCTGAGGCAGGAGAATTGCTTGAACATGGGAGGCGGAGGTTGCAGTGAGCCGAGATCGCGTCATTGCACTCCAACCTGGTTAAAAAAAGTGAAACTCCATCTAAAAAAAAAAAAAATGCAAGAGGTTATCAATTGGAGAGACTATGTATAGACAATTCTGTTGAGAAGATGTGTGTGTCTGGACACATAGAAACAAAGAAAAGGAAGTTGGCTGGAAATGGGTCTAGAGATCAAATTGAAGGAGAATTTTTGCTAGATGTAGACATTAAAACAGAACATATGAATTCTGAAGTAAATTTCTGAAGGAGAAAACACAATCTTCACTATATGTTGGACCTTTAGTAAAGCAGACCTAGTTTGCTCATCAATTTATTTTATTACCAAAAATCCTTGATTAAGCCAGTACACATGACACTGCAAGCCCAAGAACCATATCCATACTACCTCAAGTTGAAGGAGTGGGATAGACTGGCTCACATAACTGAATTCCTTGAGTAGAACTCTCTTCAAATATGAACACAAAGTCACAAATAATGTCATCAGATCCCTGTCTCTTTTAACACTACTCACACATCTTCTTCAAGTGGCTAATGTATGGGGAACAATTGTCCAACATGCTCATATCCTAGAATAACCTGGAGAACAAAAATGTCTTTTGAATAGTTCAGGTAAAGACCTTTAGAAATCTCTGGCTTCCCTGCCTTGAGGCATGTACCGATCCCCAAATGTACCGGGGGTCACAGACTGCTAAAATTGATTAGGAATACATCAGGTGCCCATTTCTGGGAGTTAGGATAAGTAAAGTCAACATCAACCTTAATGAATAGGATAAAACATGTTTATTTTAGAGAGGAGAGAAGCGGTTTCCAAGTAGGCACTGGCAGAGCAAACAGAGCAAAGCAAAACAAAAATGTGTCTATTTCAAACATCCTAGAAAGAATGGTTAGTTGATTGTCTCAATAGTGCTCTCAGGTACTCTTAAACTTGGTCTATGACCTTTATTGTCCTTTCTTACAGTGACTAGAGGACATGGCAACATATTATGCATTTATTCTATTCCAGCTGTATATTATCAAGGCTTTACTGCCCTAACTGCAAATCGTTATCATTTGAATTCTCGGTATGTTTTCCTAAAGAGTATTTTCTCCCCTTCATTATTTTCTTTTTTAGTTTGTTTCATTATGTAGTTGCTGCTTCTTTTTTCACTCAATAATTGCCCTTTTTTGGGCTCCATCCCAATGAAGCTATATTTATTATGCTCTCCTTACAGTTCCCTCTTTCCTGCTGGCTTCTTCTCTACTACATTTTCTTTCCACTATTTGTGTCTAAGGAGAGGTACAACTATTTTCTTGGATAAGTGGAGAATTATCTTTACGCAAGAATATTTGTGTGTATGTGTGCTCCCAAAGGAAATTATGCATTTTGAGCATGAAAATCCTGACTTCTCAGTTAAAGCACTCCGAGAGAAAAACAAAACAAAACAAACAAACAAACAAACAAAAAACTCCCACACCCAATTCTAAGGCAATCACCTACAGTGGGAAAAAAAATCTTAAAAAATATTTCCTATTTTCCTCATTTTTATGTTCTGCTGTAACAGTATTTTTAAAAAGGAATCTGGTATTATTTCAAGACCTAGCCAGCAAATGCTTATGATCTTTTTGCTGAACATCCAATAGATTTACATCTGTTCTCTCTTCTCCAATGTTCCAGTTTAATTATTTCAGTGAGAGGAATGATTGTGACTATAGATGGACCCAGGCTTGATATTAAAATTTCAACTTCCTCTCTCTGCTGAGTGACTTTTATTAAAAGTCAAAGTACTATTGCTGTCCAACAAAATGCTCAAAAGTATATTTAATATATATTTCAAAAATACACAGTTCTGAAAAAGATATTTAGCCTATTTCTGGGTTTAAGTTTTCACTCTTCAATAGGTAACATTTTTATGTTTTTGGAATCACATCTTATGATCATTTCTAAGTTGTAAGGTAATCTTATTATGATTATTACTATTATTATTTTAGAGCAGACATGTTGGAAATATTGAACAGATCTTACTAATTCTTCAACGGAGATCTTTTTAATGTGTAAGTCTGTTTACTACCATCCTGACTATGGGAGTTCATTCAGACATATTCAAATAATGAAATACTATACCTATAAAATATTTTAATGTATTTCTTGAGAAAATAAAACAATATGATTTTAAAATATTTTTAGGGAAGGGAAGTGAGAGAGAAAGATGAAAAATCACCTGATGATTTTAGATCTCCTGCCAAGGGTATCTTCCCTTGTCTTCCAAGAAATCTCTCCTGCCTATTATTATGTTACAAGATAATGATTTACATTTTTAAAAAATCATTCAAGCACATATACTAACTAACTATTGCTTCTTCTACCTCTTTCAGTCCCTGACTTTTAAAGGAACTATGAAGGTTAGACACACTTTTATTTCAGCTCTCATCTCCCAGGACTTAACAAAATAAAGTATAATGGGATATGCAAACATGTAATCCTGAGAGTCCAAAAAGTTGATTCTTTTGTGGAAGGCTTTAGAGAAGATGGGCCACACCATCAAGAATTTATCAAACAAGACTATCATACCCCACCCTCAATCCTCTGTCAATGTGCGTGAGTCTCTTGAGGAAGCAAAGTGGATCACTTCTGGGAACTTTTAAGACATTAACTAATGATGCCTTATCACTAAGAGACAGACTTGCCACTGAAAGGTTCAGGAATACTTTCCTTCAAATCTAAGAGGCACATTATTTACATTTTAACATATCTGAGACCCATATCCATGACTGTGAAGAGACTTAAGATTACATTAACTTTTTCATTGTGTTGATTTTTTTCCTTTGCTGTGAAGAAACTTTATTTTGATATAGTCCCTCCCACTTGTTTATTTTTGCTTTTGTTAACTTTTGGTGTCAAATCCAAAAATTACTGGCAAGATCAATGACAAGGAACTTTACCCATGTGTTTTCTTCTAGGAGTTTTGTGACTTTAGATCTTATATTTTAGTCTTCAATCCATTTTGAATTTAATTTTGTGAAATGGGTAAGGGAAGAATACAATTTTATTTGTTTCTTTTTGCCCATTATTATGCAGTTTCCAAAGAAACATTTATTAAAGAGTCTTTCCTGGCCCAGTATGTGTTCTTGGCAAGTTTGTAAAAATTAGTTGACCATATATGTGTGGGCTTATTTCTGAACTCTTGTGTTCTGTTCCATTGGTCTCCCTGTCTGTTCTTATGCCAGTACCATATTGTTACTACAGCTTTGTAACATAATTTGAAATCAGGATGTGTGATGCCTCCAGCTTTGTTTTTCTTTCACAGGATTTCTTTAGCCATTTGGGTTTCTTTCTTTTTTATGATTGTATCTGATAAAAAGGGATCACATGGAAATATATAAGGAACTCATTTAGCAGCTAAATAGCAAAAAAAAAAGGAAGAAGAAATAGAGAAAGGAGAAAGAAAGAAAGAGAAAAAGAGAAAGAAAGAAAGAAAAGAAAAGAGAAAAGAAAAGAAAGAGAGAAAGAAGAAATAGGGAAGGAAGGAAGGAAAAGAGAGAGAGAAAGAAAGAAAGAAGGAAGGAAGAAAGGAAGGAAGCAAGGAAAAGAAAATCTAATTTAAAAATAGACAAAAGTCCTATATGGATACTTTTCTGAAGGAGATGTACAAATGGCCAACAGATACATGAAAAGATGTTCAATATAATTATCAGGGAAATGCAAATCAAAACCACAGTGAGCTATTATCTCACACCAGTTAGAATGGAAACTATCAAAAAACAACTGATAACAAATATTTCCAAGGATATGGAGAAGAGAACCCTTGTTCACCGCTGATGGGAATGTATATTGGTATTGCCATTATGGTAAACAGTATGAAGTTTCTTCAAAAATATTAAAAATATAACTACTACAGGATCCAATAATCCCACTTCTGCTTATATATCCAAAGGAAATAAAATCACTATTTTGAAGATATATCTATGTTCTCATATTTATTGCAGCATTATTCACAAAAGCCAAGATGTGGAAGCAAACTGTCTGTCAATAAATAAATGGATGAAGAAAATGTGGTAGGTACACACACAAACACATACATACACACACACACACACACATAAATACACACACACACAATGGAATATTATTCAGCCTTAAAAGAAAAAGCATCTTGCCATTTGCAACAACATGAATGAAACTTAAGGTCATGTTACGTCAAATAAGCCAGATACAGAGAGATAAATACTGTGTGGTCTTGCTTATAGTAAGAATTAAAAAAAAAAAAAGTCAAACTCGTAGTAACAGAGAGTAGATTGCTAGTCACCAGAGAAGTGCAGAAAGGGTGTGGGGAAAAGGGAAATATTGATCAAAGGGTACAGGCTTTCAGTTATAAGATTAATATGTACTGGAGACCTAATGTACAGCATGGTGACTATAGTTACTAAAAATGTATATCTCAAATTTGCTAAGATAATAGATCTCAAGTGTTATCACATGAACACAAACACACAAAAATGGTAACTGAGTTGATGAATATTTTTATTAGCTTGATTGTGGTCATTTCACAATGTATACATATATCAAAACATATTGTATATCCTATAAATATAGCCTTTTTAAAATCAAACCTTAATAAAGCTGGAAAAATGAAAGACAAGTGTGGATTAAAAAGATTACATTAACCTACTTACTTCAATTACCTTATTCTTTCATTACAAGAGTAAATAATGATAAATCTGAGTTTAAGTAATGCTAAAATAGCTGTTTTCATAAGACTAAAAAAAAAAACAGTCTCAAAGTGGTAATAGAATTTTCTTTTGTAGTTTACCTGCATCATATTTTCTTTATCACTGGCATTTAAAATGATAATGTAGACTTGTTTAATTGTCAATTTTGGCTCTCTGGAATAAATGTAAAAATAAACTGTTGATAAAACAAAGCTGAGATCTTACCTTGTTCTAGTAGTGCCTTGGATAAAGGATGGCCAAGGTGAATACTTCTGAGGGTTGGGGGTTTGGTTTAAGGCAAGAGCTTGATGAGGACTGAGCAATTAGTGAATAAACATTAACAATTAGTGGAAAGAATGAGACAGCATTTACAAGTGAGTTTTGTTTTGTTTTGTTTTGTTTTGCTTTGCAATGGAGTTTCACTCTGTTGCCCAGGCTGGAATATAGTGGTGCAATGTAATCTCGGCTCACTGCATCACTGCAACCTCTGCCTCCCAGGTTCTAGCAATTCTGCTGCCTCAGCCTCCCGAGTAGCTGGGATTACAGGTGTGTGCCACAACACACTCGGCTAATTTTTCTATTTTTAGTAAAGATAGGGTTTCACCATGTTGGCTAGGCTGGTCTTGAACTCCTGACCTCAAGTAATCTGCCCACCTCAGCCTTCCAAAGTGCTGTGATTACAGACGTGAGCCACCGAGCCTGGCCAGAACTGAGTTTTGAAGAGTAAACAGATGTGTGATACTAGCACTGTTCTGAGAAGGGGCTGAGGGAAAATTGACTTGTCTAGTGTTCAAATAAATGGAATTTTTAAAAGGTTTTGTACCAAAAATAAATTTAATTCCCATTGGTAGAACTATGTCATGGTTCTTACACAGATTTGGAATATAACATGACCTAAAAGTGTCTTCTCAAATCCTTCATTTATACTGATTTCAAAATGTACATAAACAAAAAAATTATCATATATAGCAATAATGTCTCTCATCTGTTTTTAGCTGAACCAAACAATCCTGCTACATCACAGCCAAAGGAAGAACAACTGCAGTTATTATGATACATCAGGCTTAGCTAACATAAAGGGCGAGATAAAAAAAGAAATTTTATTATATCTTTTTCAAGCCCTCTATCAACCCAAAACTTTGGATCAGAGAAATATAGGTAAAATTGGGATTAATGTTTCATTTTGACAGGATTATGTATCTTCCATTTATGCTCATTTAATAATGCTTTGACTTAGTAGGACTGAAAGAAAGTAAAACTCTAGCATTTAAGAAAATATTTTAGTTGATGCAGTTTCTTCCTAGTCTCGATGGTCTTTATTTACATTTTGGCATGATTTTGCAGTGGCTGGTACCGGTTGTGCCTTTCCATGTTTAGTGCTTCCTACAGGAGCTCTTTTAGGGCAAGCCTGGTGGTGACAAAATCGCTCAGCATTTGCTTGTCTGTAAAGAATTTTTATTTCTCCTTCACTTATGAAGCTTAGTTTGGCTGGATATGGAATTCTGGGTTGCAAATTCTTTTCTTTAAGAATGTTGAATATTGGCCCTCACTCTCTTCTGGCTTGTAGAGTTTCTGCCAAGAGATTTGCTGTTAGTCTGATCAGCTTCCTTTTGAGGGTAACCCGACCTTTCTCTCTGGCTGCCCTTAACATTTTTTCCTTCATTTCAACTTTGGTGAATCTGACAATTATGTGTCTTGGAGTTGCTCTTCTCGAGGAGTATCTTTGTGGCATTCTCTGTATTTCCCGAATCTGAATGTTGGCCTGCCTTACTAGATTGGGGAAGTTCTCCTGGATAATATCCTGCAGAGTGTTTTCCAACTTGGTTCCATTCTCCCCGTCACTTTCAGGTACACCAATCAGATGCAAATTTGGTCTTTTCACATAGTCCTATATTTCTTGGAGGCTTTGTTCGTTTCTTTTTATTCTTTTTTCTCTAAACTTCCCTTCTCGCTTCATTTCATTCACAGACTGGCAAATTGGATAAGGAGTCAAGACCCATCACTGTGCTGTATTCAGGAAACCCATCTCACGTGCAGAGACACACATAGGCTCAAAATAAAAGGATGGAGGAAGATCTACCAAGCAAATGGAAAACAAAAAAAGGCAGGGGTTGCAATCCTAGTCTCTGATAAAACAGACTTTAAACCAACAAAGATCAAAAGAGACAAAGAAGGCCATTACATAATGGTAAAAGGATCAATTCAACAAGAAGAGCTAACTATCCTAAATATATATGCACCCAATACAGGAGCACCCAGATTCATAAAGGAACTCCTGAGTGACCTACAAAGAGACTTAGACTCCCACACAATAATAATGGGAGACTTTAACACCCCACTGTCAACATTAAACAGATCAACAGACAGAAAGTTAACAAGGATACCCAGGAATTGAACTCAGCTCTGCACCAAGCGGACCTAATAGACATCTACAGAACTCTCCACCCCAAATCAACAGAATATACCTTTTTTTTCAGCACCACACCACACCTATTCCAAAATTGACCACATAGTTGGAAGTAAAGCTCACCTCAGCAAATGTAAAAGAACAGAAATTATAACAAACTATCTCTGAGACCACAGTGCAATCAAACTAGAAATTAGGATTAAGAAACTCACTCAAAACCACTCAACTACATGGAAACTGAACAACCTGCTCCTGAATGACTACTGGGCACATAATGAAATGAAGGCAGAAATAAAGACGTTCTTAGAAACCAACGAGAACAAAGACACAACATACCAGAATCTCTGGGACACATTTAAAGCAGTGTTTAGAGGGAAATTTATAGCACTAAATGCCCACAAGAGAAAGCAGGAAAGATCCAAAATTGACACCCTAACATCACAATTAAAAGAACTAGAAAAGCAAGAGCAAACACAATCAAAAGCTAACAGAAGGCAAGAAATAACTAAAATCAGAGCAGAACTGAAGGAAATAGAGAAAAAAAAAACCCTTCAAAAAAAATTAATGAATCCAGGAGCTGGTTTTATGAAAGGATCAACAAAATTGATAGACCACTAGCAAAACTAATAAAGAAAAAAAAGAGAGAAGAATCAAATATACGCAATAAAAAATGATAAAGGGGATATCACCACCAATCCCACAGAAATACAAACTACCATCAGAGAATACTATAAACACCTCTACGCAAATAAACTAGAAAATCTAGAAGAAACGGATAAATTCCTCGACACATACACTCTCCCAAGACTAAACCAGGAAGAAGTTGAATCTCTGAATAGACCAATAACAGGAGCTGAAATTGTGGCAATAATCAATAGCTTACCAACCAAAAAGAGTCCAGGACCAGATGGATTCACAGCCGAATTCTACCAGAGGTACAAGGAGGAACTGGTACCATTCCTTCTGAAACTATTCCAATCAATAGAAAAAGAGGGAATCCTCCCTAACTCATTTTATGAGGCCAGCATCATCCTGATACCAAAGCCGGGCAGACACACAACCAAAAAGAGAATTTTAGACCAATATCCTTGATGAACATTGATGCAAAAATCCTCAATAAAATACTGGCAAGCCAAATCCAGCAGCACATCAAAAAGCTTATCCACCATGATCAAGTGGGCTTCATCCCTGGGATGCAAGGCTGGTTCAATATATGCAAATCAATAAATGTAATCCAGCATATAAACAGAGCCAAAGACAAAAACCACATGATTATCTCAATAGATGCAGAAAAGGCCTTTGACAAAATTCAACAACGCTTCATGCTAAAAACTCTCAATGAGGTATTGATGGGACGTATCTCAAAATAAGAGCTATCTATGACAAACCCACAGCCAATATCATACTGAATGGGCAAAAACTGGAAGCACTCCCTTTGAAAACTGTCACAAGACAGGGATGCCCTCTCTCACCACTCCTATTCAACATAGTGTTGGAAGTTCTGGCCAGGGCAATTAGGCAGGAGAAGGAAATAAAGGGTATTCAATTAGGAAAAGAGGAAGTCAAATTGTCCCTGTTTGCAGACGACATGATTGTATATCTAGAAATCCCCACTGTCTCAGCCCAAAATCTCCTTAAGCTGATAAGCAACTTCAGCAAAGTCTCAGGATACAAAATCAATGTACAAAAATCACAAGCATTCTTATACACCAATAACAGACAAACAGAGAGCCAAATCATGAGTGAACTCCCATTCACAATTGCTTCAAAGAGAATAAAATACTTAGGAATCCAGCTTACAAGGGACGTGAAGGACCTCTTCAAGGAGAACTACAAACCACTGCTCAATGAAATAAA